>NC_000003.12:130372240-130523755 GCF_000001405.40 Homo sapiens
GGAAAACAATTTTGCAGTTTCTCAAAATGTTAAACATAGAGTTATGATAAGACCAAATATTTCACTCCTAGGTACCTAGTCCAGATAAATGAAAATATATATTCACACCAGCATGTACATAAGTGTTCATAGCAGTATTATTTATAATAGCCCAAAGTAGAAACAACCCAAATGTTCATCAACTGACAATTAATGTTTTAAATTATATATATATATATCTATATCCATACAATGGAATATTACTCAGCCATAAAAAAGAATTAAGTACTGATACATACCATAACATGGATAAACCTTGAAAACATACTAAATGAAAGAAGCCAAACATAAAGGCCACATATTGTATGATTCTGTTTATACAAAATGTCCAGAATAGGCAAATCCATAGAGAAAGCAAGTAGATCAGTGCCAGCACCTATAGAAGGGGAGTGGGGGAATGGGGAATGACTGCTATGGGTTTGGGGTTTCTTTTTGGGGTGATAAAAATGTTGTTTCCCCTGAACTGGGGGCTTAATCTAAATGATTTATAGGGTCTTCTCCACATCCAGCTTCCAATGATTCTATCAATCTTCCTGAATGAGTAACAATTTCAAAAGGACTCTAAAAATCAGCCCTTACACCTTTGGTATCTGTTTTAAGGGAGATCTATTTTTTGAGTATCGGCCATTTAAATCTATTTCTATTCTTATAAAGAACAAACTCTGATTTGGTTAAATTCCTGAGATTTTAATTTCCCATGAAGCATTCTGATTGATTGTGAACTATGTGGAAAAACCAAACCTAAGGTAGTTTGTGAAATTGAGCATAACTGTAAGTGAGGAAGCAGTTTTCACAAAGGCTTAGTGAAGGAAGAGACGTGTAGCTGTTGGCTTTTTAAGCCAAATTATAAACATATACGATAGTGGCATAACAATAAAGGGTAGAGAATAGTGACTACATAAATTTTGCGAGGACAGTAATTTTGTATAAAGCTTATGACACAGTGGTTAAGAGGTTAGGTGATGCAATTGCTTCGTCTGGGTTAGTACTGTGGATCGATCTACCTCTTACCAAGCCATTTGGTGCTTCAGTTTCCTTTTCTGTCACATAAGTGTAGTAATTGTACCTCCCTATAAGATTGTTGTGAGGATTAAATTAGATGACACTTGTCAAGCACTGAGAAAGGTGTTTGAGCCTTGGCCAGGGCTCAGCAAACATTAGCATTAATATTTTCAACAAATACTCCAAATGCTTGATGAATTTTATAAACACACTTGGCACTGCTTGACAAATACTTGTTTACAGGTACCATGCCCTAATACAACTATCCTGACAGTTACTTAATGGTATAAAATAAAATTTTTCATAATGTAAATAATTTTCTTTTGCAGAACAAAAGTAAAAATCTTCACTAACAAAATGAAGATCTTGCTAATTATATTTGTCCTAATCATTTGGACTGAAACATTGGCAGACCAGAGCCCAGGTATCAGTATATTTTACGTTTATTATTATTTAGGAAATATTTTTACATCTCAGTAAACTTTAATAAACAGCAAGAAATAATTTATTTACTAAAAATCAAAGTATGCAGCATTTAGTAATTGTTATACAACATCAAACAAACTTAACTTGTGAAAGACAGCACAAAGCCATGAGCAAAAGTCAGGAGTTATGTTGCACCTGGCTAGAAAAACTTTAATTATCCATTAATTTGCTTCAATCTCAATATTACATGTCTCCATGGATTGAGTCAGTCCATTTGTTTATAGATCCATTTGAATCTTGATCTCATAAATGAAAGAAAAGGAACCCGACACAGAAAACAAATTCTAAGTATTTTCGTGACTAAAACCATTGCCTTCCTTTCCTTTTACAAGCATGAAATATATATTTACACACAAACACACACACACAGTCATACGTCACTTAACAATGGGTGTACTTCCTGAGAAATGCATCATTAGGTGATTTTGTCATTGTGTAAACATCATAGAGTATACTTATACCTAGATGGTGTAGCCTACTACACACCTAGGGCATATGATACAACCTATTGCTCATAGGCTAAAAACCTGTACTGCATGTTACTATGCTGAATATTGTAGGCAAGTATAATACAATGGTAAGGAGTTATATATCTAAACACATCTAAACACAGAAAAGGCAATACCTTGCACTACCACATTATGACAGCTATGATGTCATTAGGTGATAAGAATTTTTCAGCTCTATTATAATCGTATTTTTTTGAGACAGAGTCTCACTCTGTCACTCAAGCCAGAGTGGAGTGATGCAGTCTCGGCTCACCACAACCTCTGCTCCCTCGGCTCAAGCAATCCTTCTGCCTCAGCCTCCCAAATAGCTGGGACTACAAGTGCATGCCCCCACACCTGGCTAATTTTTATATTTTTTGTAGAGACAGGGTTTCATCATCTTGCACAGGCTGGTCTCAATCTCCTGGGCTCAAGTGATCCTACCACCTTGGCCTTCCAAAGTGCTGGGATTACAGTGTGAGCCACCATGACCAGCCAGCTTAATTTTAACTGTATGAGGCCACTGTCATATATGCAGTCTGTTGTTGACTGAAATGTCATTATGTCGTTGTGAAGCACACGACTGTGTGAGTGTGTGTATGTCCGTGTCTGTGTGCCTGTCTGTATAGGAAAAGCGAGAGAGCATGCATGAAAAGTAAGTTTTTATACTCTCTTGTAATTACTAAAAACATCATTCAAAGAAGTATTTTAAACTGTGCATTGTCACTGTGTTACTCTAAGATTTCCTGATGCATTTCTGAGTTACCTTGAAAGAGCCAGTTGTTAGACATTTACTAGCACATTACTAATTTCAGGAGCAGCACGGCTGACCATGACTGCTAAGGTAGATACTATTGGCACCTCCCTTACCAGACTCTTCTTATCTGGCTGATGCACCCACCTCCCAGCTACTGTGAATATTGCTGGCAACAGCTCATGGCTGTGCCCCATTTTCTCAGGGGAACTGTTCTCAGTTTTCCCACTTAACCAAGAGGTTCTGCCTACAACCTTCTGCTCCTTCTCTCCAACTTCTGGGGATGGTCTGCAGCCAATGACTGACTAATAGGGTAGCACAAAAAACTGGCCCTCTTGCCTCAAAGAGGGACAGCTCTGCTGTAATTTAGGCTCCAGAGCCCCTTGCAGAGCAGGTCAAAGCTAGACCTTACCGGATGACATGCCCTTCTCTGCTTGTTCCCTGTCCTATCCTGTTTCTCTTACATTGCGCGCCCTCAATCAAGCACTTTCATCTGAAATCCCCATCTTAGACTCTGTTCTCCCACCTGAGACAATTGCTTACTCTATAACGTTTTCAAAAATTGCTGTTAGTTCTCAAACAACTTTGGCCCATTCTTACACTGCTATGAAGAAATACCCAAGACTAGGTAATTTACAAAGGAAAGAGGTTTAATTGACTCAGTTCCTCATGGCTGGGGAGGCCCCAGCAAAATTACAATCATGGCAGAAGTGGAAGCAAACATGTCCTTCTTCACATGGTAGCAGTAGAGAGAAGTGCCAAGCAAAAGGGGAAAAGCCATGAGAACTCATGAGACTCTCACTGTCACAAGAACAGCATGGGAGTAAGCACCTCCATGATTCAATTACCTCCTATTGGGTCCCTCCCATGACACATGGGGATTATGGGAGCTATAATTCAAGATGAGATTTGGGTAGGGACACAGCAAAACCAGTCCAGTCAGGGACTTTCTGAGTTGGTACAATATCAGAGTTTAGGGTTCCAGAACTAAAAAAGAAAAGAAGTTTATTGTCTCTTGTATATCTGTTGGCTAACTTTACTAAAGCCCTTTTGTTTGACATTTTAGCAAAGGCAATTATATTTTCTTCTGTTTGACCTCCAGAAGACACTTTTCTTGGGATTCTGATATACACTTAACACCAGCACATAGTCTTAAATAAGTATTGTGGTCTAAAATACAAAGGTTGAATGATAACTTTGTTTTTGCTTGTTATTTTATTTTGATAGGGCCAGGCCCTGTGTATGCAGATGTCGTGTTTCTGGTGGACAGCTCCGATCACCTGGGACCTAAGTCATTCCCATTCGTGAAAACGTTCATCAACAAAATGATCAACAGTCTCCCCATAGAGGCCAACAAATACCGTGTAGCCCTGGCCCAGTACAGCGACGAGTTTCACAGTGAATTCCATCTGAGCACCTTCAAAGGCAGAAGCCCCATGCTGAACCACCTCAAGAAGAACTTTCAGTTCATTGGCGGGTCCCTGCAGATAGGAAAGGCTCTTCAGGAGGCTCATAGGACCTACTTCTCTGCACCCATAAATGGGAGAGACAGGAAACAGTTTCCCCCAATTTTGGTGGTCCTGGCTTCGGCTGAGTCTGAGGATGAAGTGGAAGAGGCTTCGAAAGCCCTGCAGAAAGACGGGGTGAAAATTATCTCCGTGGGGGTGCAGAAAGCTTCTGAGGAAAATCTGAAGGCCATGGCCACATCCCATTTCCATTTCAACCTTCGGACAATCAGAGACCTCAGCACATTTTCCCAAAACATGACACAGATCATCAAGGATGTAACCAAGTATAAGGAGGGAGCCGTCGATGCTGATATGCAAGGTAAGGAAACCCTTGGTTGAAGAGGTGCCTGATCCCCAGGTGGGTCTACATCTGTCCACTCTCACCTCTTGCAACTCATGTTAGGTTTTCATGATTAGCCATGTTGAAGTATTGGAAACTTCTACACATCATACCTACTCGCTTCTGCCTTTGCTTGTGCCATTTTTTCTGACAAGAGCTCTATCTTATTGCACTCCTTTGCTTTCTTATAGCTTGAATAACTCCTGTCATCATTTAAATCTCATCCCTACATTCTTTTCCTCTTGGAATCTTTCCTTTCTAATTTCTTTTTGGGTTTCGGTTCCTTGCACACAGCTTATGACAGCAGCACTTCCTGTAACTATCCATTTCTGTGTTTGTCCTCCTTCCCTTCCCCACCATCACGAAGCAAGAAACAGGTAGCACATGAGGGCAGGGTTGACAACTTATCTCTCTGTCCTTTGTGCCAAGCACAGTGCCTGACAATGAGCTGGTGTTCTATTTCTCAATGAATTAATACGTGAGGATCTTACAGATAAAGAAATAGGATCACTGTCTATTCTCTTTCCTTCACCATCTTGTTACAGTATGAGACTCACAATAAATATTCAATAAATGCTTGTGAACTGATATATAGTGATACTCAGTGAGAAGAATGATAACCTTAGAATGAGACACTATTAGTACATGTTCATATTTTCTGTTCGACCAGGAAGAAGAGGGGATGCCCTCAGTGGTGCAGTAATGCAATGCAGTGGACTGCATTCTGCTGTGTTGAGCCCTGCATCTGCTGTGTTGTCCCATCCTAGACTTTTAGAGGTTAGGAGCAAAGACTTCGGAGTCAGGAAGGTCTGAGTTCAAACCCTGGCTTGGCCACTTAGGACATTGAGTCCCTTACTTAACCCTGAGCGTCAGTTTCCTTACCTGTAAAGTGAGGATAATAGTGTCTATCATATAATATGAATGAGGTGACTTGTATGGCATTTGGCACACTGTTTACTATTATTAATAGTAACAACCATTTGCAAATAAATACTAACCTGAGAAGGTCATTCTTGGAGTTTGTTTTAGCTAACTGTGGGATTTCAGAGTAGATTGGTAGATTTATGAGGATTAATTTTAATTCCATAAATATTTTTGAGCTCTCACCAGGCACCAGGTACTGGAGGAATAGTGATAAGTAAGACATGCTTTCTGCCTTCTAAGAACTCACAGATGGGTAATTCTTGGCAAGGTTGAGCTTATCTCTTGGCTATGCTTTCCACAGCTGCAGTTCATCCAGCTGTGCTTGGAGTCTATGTTTTATGTGAATACGGTGTACTTTCCCTTAGATTCCAAATTTGTATAACCAACTGCTTACCTGGCATCTCCTCTTCAATACTCAGTAGTTTCTCAAACTTACCATGTCTGAAACAGAACACAAATCCCCCCTGTAACTTGTTTTTCCCACTATCTTCCCTATCTTGAAAAAAGACAGCACCACCATTCACTCAGTTGTTCAGGCCAAAAACCCAGGAGTTTTCACCACTTCCTCTTTTGTTGTCAATACTCACATGCAATTTATCCAGCTTTCTGTTCTACCTCTAAGTCATGTATCAAAACTATCCTTGTCATTCCATCTTAGCAGCTGTAATACTTGTCCAAGAATCATTATCTCTTTCCTGGACTAGGGCCATTGTTTCTTAATTATTATCCCTGAATTCATTATTTCCTCTCAGCAACTGGAGTGGTATTTAAAATATTTAAATAAGATCATGTGACTCCCAGAAGATCTGGGCCCTGCTTCCCTCTGGCCTCATCTGTCAATGTTTCCCCTCACTCATGGGCTCCAACTACTCTGGACTTCTTGCTTGTTCCCACCTCTTGCTGTTCTATCTGCCGGAATTCCTCTTCCTTCAGAACTCCGTGTGGCTGAATTCCTCTCTTCAGTCATTTCTCAACCCACATGTGATCCTCTCAGAGAGGCCTTCCCTGATTTCTTCATGTCTAGGTAAGTTAACCCTCCCTTAACCACAGTGTAGTCACTCAGTCAAGTCACCTGTTTTATTTCCTTGCTAGCACTTATTACTGTGTGAAATAATACAATCTAGTTATCTTCCCTCCCCAGAGAATGTGAACTCCCTGTAGTAAGAGATATTTCTGCTAACTCATCCCTGCATCCCAGTTCTTGAGAATGATGGTGGCAGTGGTAAAGGTAGCGGTGATGGTGGACGTGGTGGTTCCTTCACTTCACTAGTAGTGAAGGTAGTGGTGACGATGGTGGTGGTCGTGGTGGAGGTGGAAGTGACAGCAGTGGTGGTGGTGATCATACAAGTGGTGATGGCGGTCATGGAGATAATAGTGGTGGTGGTCATGGGATGTGGTAGGGAAATTGGTCAGAAGCATTCTTCAGAGGGAACAGCATATGGAAAGCTTTTGAAGTCAACGACCTTGTAAGTCTTGTTTAGAATTTTGATTTTTTGTTCACTAAAAGAAAACGATGCTGTCTACATCCATCATGACTACCTCTATTCTAACTAATGTGCTTGATAATGTAAAAAGTACCTTTTTCTCTCCGGGCCAGTGGTTTATACTAATCCTCACACATTTTCTGTCTGCATAGTTCACTTCCCCATATCCTGTCAGAAAGATTCACTCGCTGACCTCGTGTTCCTGGTGGATGAGTCACTTGGGACCGGAGGAAATTTAAGGCATCTTCAGACCTTCCTTGAGAACATTACCAGCTCCATGGATGTGAAGGAAAATTGCATGCGACTTGGACTGATGAGTTACAGCAATAGTGCCAAGACTATTTCTTTTCTTAAATCAAGCACAACCCAATCTGAATTTCAGCAGCAAATCAAGAATCTTTCTATCCAAGTTGGGAAATCCAATACAGGGGCTGCCATTGATCAGATGAGAAGAGACGGCTTCTCAGAGTCATATGGCAGCAGAAGAGCACAAGGAGTGCCTCAGATTGCAGTTCTGGTCACCCACAGACCATCAGATGATGAGGTGCATGATGCTGCGCTGAACCTTCGACTGGAGGATGTAAACGTGTTTGCCTTGAGCATCCAAGGGGCTAACAATACCCAGTTAGAAGAAATAGTGTCTTATCCTCCAGAACAGACAATTTCCACGCTGAAGTCCTATGCAGACTTAGAAACTTACAGTACAAAGTTCCTGAAAAAGCTCCAGAATGAAATATGGTCCCAAATTTCTACTTATGCTGAACAAAGGAATCTTGATAAAACTGGTATGTTTTTTAAAATACTTTTCTAATTATAAAATTAATATAAGTGGTTACCTAGGACTAGGGTGGGAGTGAGGATCAACTGTAATTGGATAAAGGAACTTTCAGGAGTTGTGGGAATGTTCTAAAGCTGGATTTTGGTGATGCCCATACAACTTCAAACATTTGCCAAAAATCATTGAACAATACACTTACAAGAGGTCAATTTTATAACATATAAATCACACCTCAATAAAATGTAAAATATGTGTTAATTATAAAATATTGTAATAGTATGGCTTGACATACAGAAGAAAATAGAATCACCTGTAATTCTATCTTCAGATAAAACCATTAATACTTTTTTCTGTTGTCTTTAGTCTTTTCTGTCCCTCTCTCTTTCTCTTCCTCCCTTCTCTCATCCCTCACCCCTCTCTCCCTCTCTGTCTTCCTTTCATTCATGCACACATAGACAAATACACAGTTTTTAAAAATGATACCACATTGTATGTATCAGTGCTGTCCAACAGCCCTTTCTATGATGCTGGAAATGTTCTTTATCTGCACTGTCCACTAGGTCAGCCACCAGCCATGTGTGACTACTGAGCACTTGAAATGTGGCTAGTGTGATGGAGGAACTGAATTTTAAATGTCATGTAGTTTTAATTCATTTTAATAGCCAGGTGTGTCTAGTGGCTGTCATATTGAACAGTATAGGCATAGACAATTGGGTAACTTTTATTAGTTACAACTATATTTGGGTGTGACCAACAGAAGAAACCAAAATTACAGTAATTGAAAGAGGGTAAGATTATTTTTTCTGTTTCACAAATAAGTCCAGAGGTAGGTAGACTGAGCTAGTCTGATACACCACAGTGTCAGAGACCCTGTCTTTTTCCACATTATTTTTTGCTGTTCGTGGTCTTAATTCCTAGGATCGTTGTCCAAAATAATGGCTCCAGGCATCACCCTCACATCCAGAAATCAAGAAAGACAAAAGGGAAGAAAAAGGGCCAGGCCTCTTCACCTTTTCTTCAAGGATGCTCCCAAGAGTTATATGTGCCATTTCTGCTTACATCCCATTGGCCAGTACTTGGTCACATGCCACACCTAAGTTATAAAAATGGAAGCTGGGAAATGTGACCTTTATTTGGGGAAGCCAAGCGCCTAGGTTAAAACTGGTGGTTCAATTGGTGTAGAAGAAGGAGAAAATGGATATTGGAGATAACTAGTAATATCTGCCTTACCCACTTTTTCATCAACTTGATATTATGATCTTTTGTCTGTTTCCTTAAATACTCTTTTGAAACATTCCTTTAGGTTGAGAAAAATATTCCATTTAATGGATATACCATATTTTTTAAAACATATCTTAAATTGTTGGATATATAGGCCAATGTTTTGTTTTTATAAAAGTCTTGCAGGGACATCCTTTTACCTGTATTTTTATGCACAATCACGGTTATTTTCTGACATTTAAATCCTGTCTATTTTTTTCTTCTATCATTCCAGTGAAGGATCTCCTAGTTAAGATTCTTTGTGAATCTGCTATAGTTTTACTGAGCTCTTTTCAAAGGTACATGCCAAGAGATACTTAATATGACTTTGAGCTCATCTAATTCTGAGATATCTGCTGTCCTCACACATTTTCTCTGTAGAGAAAATGCTTCCAGGCAATTGAAACTGGAATTTGGCAGCACACAACATGGAAAGGAATTTTAATGTTCCAATGATATTAAAGGCTAATTTTGAACTCAGACCAGCTTCAATCTAATACTGTTACTACACCATAGGAGGGATATGTGGCATAGTCTCTTTCAGGAGTTTGCAATGATGCCACAAAAAATTATTATTGTCATTATAGAAATTGTAAATGGGAAGATATGGGACCAAAGCTAGGGCACAAGGCCTCACTATGTAACTCCTTAGTAATCCAATTGTTTTAAAATGTTGGTACCTGACTTAAGTTGGGCTCCTCAGAAGCAGATGCCTGGCAAAAATTCACATGAAATTGATATATTAGGAAATGTAACCAGAAAAAAAAATGGAGATTGGTAAGAAAATGAGGAAATGGGAACAGGAAGGAAAGGACAATAAGAAAAGTCCTATGGATAGTAACGTTGGCTCAATTCCATGGTGTCATTATAGAGATAGTGTATATCAAGCACCAGAGTTGTCCCAGGCAAGGAAAACAAACAAACAAACAACAACAAAAAACACAAAAAAACATAACTAGAGAATTTACATTTAAGCACATGCAGGGAATGTAAATTTCTGGACACTCCTGGTTCAAGTGCCAGGCAAAGGAGTTGCCAGAAACTCAGGGGCAGCTCACCTACAGATATAGCATTTGCTATTGGGAGTTAAAGCAAAGCACTAGCAGCCAGTTTGCATAAAAATGGTAAGAAATTTGAGAAAATACAGGTGAAAACACCAATAGTGTCTGTTTTAAACTTAGAGTCTTTTGAGGAGCTTGTTAATAATTCAGTTGCCCAAGCATCACTCTAAAACTACTGAATTGGTCTCTGAGGGTAGGGCCTGGGCCCATGCATTTTAGTGATCTCCCTAATGAATTCAGGCTAGCAACATTTAAGACCTACTACCTTAGTGAAGTTTCTGTGATCTAGAGTGTGGTGGCCAGCTTTGCAATTTCAGAATGATCAACGCTCAGAGAAACAATCTATATCTGGCTTAGTCCCTGCTATATCTACTACATCTGGCACATACTAAGTGTTCAGTTTTTATTCCATAAAACTTCATTAAATCAAGGCAAAATTCACATTAACCAAACTCAAGCGACTGATGTATAGAAAAAGAATGACAATTATCTATGTAAAAATGAGAGCTATCAATGCCCAGGGGCTTGGACATTCACATCTTCCAAGTGGTACATTCTCTCCCTATAGATATGCCAAATTAGAAGCTAAATTGTAATCAAAACTCTGCTTGGGGTGGTGGAATCACAACAAGAGAGTTACTGTAGTTTTACAATTGAAATGTTTAGTAGCATCCAATTGGGCAGATGTTTCTACTTTAAAATCAAATACATACATCTATATTTATATATGTATCTGTATATATGAATGCACAGGTGAGGCCTTGAGCCAAGGGACACATTCTTTGGCAGTGTTTAATTGAAATTTTGTAATGATAGAAATATTCTGTATCTATGCTAATAGGGTAGCTGCTAGTTATATGGAGCTGTTAAGCACTTGAAATGTAGCTAGTGTACTCAAGAAGATGACTTTTAATTTTATTTAATGTTGGATAGTTTAGATTTACATTTTAATAGCAACATGTGACTAGTGGCTCGTGTATTGGATAGCACAGCCCTAGGCAGGGATGAATGGGCATTGCTACAGTTACCTACTCACCTTTTTCTCTCCCTCATTGCTAATCACCACTACCTTTCTTTTGCTGAACATTTAATTCTTCTTTATTAGATATATAAATTAATGCATTCCGGTTACTTTCAAGTTTTGTTGGCCTGGGATCAACCCTGTCTTTTGCAGATAACCGCTTATCTTTGCCCTAATGCTTTATGTATTGATTTTATAGTTCATTTCTCAGGGTCAGACTTCTTTTCAGTATATCTGATTTCCTAAGGAGCAACTGCCGTGGGCTGAAGTAGTGTCAGTAGCTATAAATTACCTAAGAGCTGTCAAGAAAACCAGATAATGACACACATAACCCAAAATTTTGAAAATATGTTCTTTCTCTTACCCAGTTTCTGTGAATATCTACATAAAGTAGTAAATAGACTACTAAGAAAGCAAAAATAGTTTTTCATAGATTCAGCTTAACAAAGGAAGGAACATTGAGAAGTCTTTTATTAAAAAAAACAAACTGAACTCCTATGATGTGCCAGGCCTACTGGGCAGAAGCAGAAAAATAAACAAAATCTTTGTCCTCATGGATTACATTCTGTGGTAAGAAACAGGCCATGCTCATGAACAAATGAAGAAGGTAACTTCAGAAAGTAACATAAAGAAAATAAACACTGTAAGAAGATAGACAATGACAGGTGTGCTTTAGATAAGGAGAAGAGAAGACCTTTTTTAAGAGATGACTTGATGACATCCATGATGAGAAGGAAGCAGCCATGTGGATATTTGGGGCAAAGAATATTTCAAGAAGAGAGGAGGGCACATGCAAAGACCCAGGGACACGTTCTAAAGACAGAATGAAGCCTAATGTGGTTGGAACACAGTGAGGGAGACGAAGAATTGCTGGAAATAGAGTCAGAGAGAAAAGCAGGAGACAAGATAAGGCCAAGTTTTAGTTTTTAAGTTCCAAATGCAACGATAGATCATTTAAGAGGTAGGATAATATGATCTAAGTTTATATTTAAATATCTTATTCTAGTTGCTCTGGGAAGAAGAGATTATTGGTGAAGTAAGAATAGAAGATCGTCAATCCCATGCCTTTTTTCAAGAAATGATAGGACATAAACTGTCTAAGAAGGCAGGTGTCAATGCTAGAAAAACTATTTAACTTGGAGCCTGGAGTCTCTGGAATTTGGTCTTTACTCTTTAATTTACTGGTTATATGACCTTAGACAAACCACTACATTTTGCCCTGTTTCAATTTTCTCACAAGGTGTTGTAAATTTCAAAGGAGAAAATGGGCATGACTGTGCTTAATGAAGTGTGCAGGCTCTACGCAAAAACGAAGTCTTCATTCTTTAGAAATGCCTCAGCCTCATGTTCCTTCACAAACCCTCTTGCAAAGTTCTCTCTAGGTTCTCTAATTTACAGAGAATGCACTTCTTTTTCAGGCTGTGTGGATACAAAAGAGGCTGATATCCACTTCCTCATTGATGGCTCAAGCAGCATCCAGGAGAAACAGTTTGAGCAAATCAAGAGATTTATGTTGGAAGTGACAGAAATGTTTAGCATTGGCCCAGACAAAGTCCGAGTTGGAGTTGTGCAGTATTCAGATGACACAGAAGTGGAATTTTATATCACTGACTATTCTAATGATATTGACTTAAGAAAGGCTATTTTTAACATTAAGCAACTAACTGGTGGAACTTATACTGGGAAAGCTCTGGATTACATACTGCAAATAATAAAAAATGGAATGAAGGATAGAATGAGCAAGGTTCCCTGTTACCTCATTGTGTTGACTGATGGGATGTCCACAGACAGAGTCGTGGAACCTGCTAAGAGACTAAGGGCTGAGCAAATCACTGTTCATGCAGTTGGCATTGGGGCAGCTAATAAAATAGAACTGCAAGAAATTGCTGGGAAAGAAGAAAGGGTTAGCTTTGGGCAGAACTTTGATGCTTTGAAAAGCATAAAAAATGAAGTCGTTCGTGAAATCTGCGCTGAAAAAGGTAAGCAACACAAAAAAGGCTTTATTCTCCACATTTCATCAATTGCTTTAGGCAGATTAATGGCCAGGCTGAGACAAGGCCTGATGTGACCAGTTGTCCGGATAACATTTTGCTAGCTTCCTTTATTACCATGGAGGGATTCAGCCCCTCACTTTTAAACCAAATGCCAAGACTGGAGAATCTGTCTATAAACAGTTGCCCCAAGGCCATCTTGGAAGTCATAAGTGGGAAGGTTGCTAAGAATGTTGGGGCCTTGACAAAGCCCACTGCTGTGGAGTGAGAGAGATTCTATTCTGCATGGGAGGTGTGTGTGTGTGTATGTATGTGCATACACAAATAAGTACGGGGGAAGTACAGTGTTTGTGTGTGCACAGGTGGGTACAGTGGAAGGAAAATGGACTTTGGCTCTAGATAGCTTAGGGTTTGACTCACATACTTCCACTTGAGCCTGGAACATTGTCATTTATAAAATGAGGATAATACCTACATCAGAGAATCCTTATAAGTTGAGCACCATAAATGCCAACCATTATTTTTATATTAAATGCATATCAAGTATATATGTAATAATTGTTCATTTTTATTTACAACAAAAACACATACTTGCATTTTTGTTCTAATTAGAGATTAAGTACCAAAAGTTAGGAGAAACAATTTGCAAATTTCTATATCTGGTTGTTTTTTTATTTCTATTATTAATAATGGCCACTTACACCACTTACTAGTTCAAGATGGTATGTGTTGATTGCCAGTATTAGCACATGAAAATATTGCCTGCTGAGAAGCACATTAGTTTACTGGTAAAGAGGAAAGATGCTAGAGTCAGAGTCAAGGTTCATACCCTAGCTTTACCACTGATTAGCCACGACCTTGAATAAGTTAGTGTCTACTTGCCTTGGTTTCCTTGTTTGTAGGCTTATTGTGAAGCTTAATGGTGATAACACACGTGGAGCAGTTAGAGGAGTGCCTGGAACATAGTAAGCGCTACAAAAAAGTTAGCTGTTGCAGAAGGTGGCTAAGGTGTTCACCGATGAGGAAAGGAAGAGAATTCTCACTTATTTGACTAAACTGAAAACGTGTTTGAATTTTCTCTAAGCCACTGAAAAACAAAAATAAAAAATAAGTAAGCAAATAAATAGCATTAACAACAAAATCCTAAGTAACAATTTTGTTCATTTTTCTCCCTGTTATGGACAGTAACAGAGTTGGGTCTTTAGGGTGTCTTAGAAAGAGTGCAAGAATAAAAGATTCCCCAATGTTTCCTGGAGTCGATGCTAAGAAAAGTAAAAGGATTCCAGGAAGCATAAAGTAGGTTGTATCTCAGATCCTTTCAAGGGAGAAGGTCCTGGACGAATCTAGGGAGGTACAGTACATCCCTTGCACTTCAGGTAGTTGCAGTTGAAGTAGTCAGCCTGAGCACTGGCATGCCTGGAGGAGGAGATAAGTTGTGGACAAGGAAATGAGTCATAAAATGGCTAACAGAGAAGCAGGAAAACAAAGGAGCCAAAGCTTGTGGAGCTAGAAAAAACTAAGGAGTCTCAGAGCAGATGCAGATGGAGTGAGGCACAGTGTATTAGTAGGGTACAGGTTAAGCTGCAATAGCAAAAAGACCCCAGACTACACAGTACAGAATATCATTTTTCTCTTACATAATAGTTTAGGGTGAATAGTCCAGGTCTAGTAGAGAGGCTGTTCCATCCTCAACACATAGCTTCCATCTTTAGGTCAAAACTGAAGATCCAGTTCTTATCACCTTCCATCCATGGAAAGGGAGAAAGGACCAAGGGAGCCTACCACACTCAACTGTTTTAATGGTAAGACCCAGAAGTGGCCAGATCACTTTTTTCTCATACCTTTTGGTTAAAACTTAGACACAAGGCCACAGCTAGCTTCAAGGAAGGCTGGGAAATACAATCTTTAGATGGGCAATCATCTGCCTATCTAAAATTTTATTAACATAGAAGAATGGAAAGATAGATATTCAGGGACATTAAGTAGTTTCTGTCACAAATAGATACCAGGAAGTAGATCCTGTGAATACTAAACTGTATGTAGAAGCCTATTTCTTTTATATGTGTTACATGGAAGAGAATCTTTCACACTTCACTACAGTGGTCAAGGCCACTCTGTCAAGGCCACAAACATCTTCAGCAATTTCTCCTCTCATGACTTTCAAGATGGTTCCATGGCAGCTTGAATCTTAAAATGGTGGTGTAGTCCTCCTGGTGGATCAGAATGTGACCTTACACGTTTATTAAGTAATAGTTAACATCTTTTCATTTTTTTAATATATGGCTGATGCTATGTTTATTTTCAAGAAGTATGGGATAGACTTCAGAATGTTGAGGGAGAAACTGTAAGAGGATGGCAGAGATTACAGATAGACAAAAGGGATTAAGACTAAAAAGATACATGCTAAAGACAATATATTTGCATATTATATATATACACAACATATGTATCATGAATTAATAATATTGTTTTTAATAGATTATAGAAATTGGTTTTATATGTGTACATATGTCTATATTATACATAGAACAATGAACATACATATGTGTGTATATATATGTATATATATATATACGTATGTCTGTATGTTCATTTCCAATCAGTAGGCTGTCTACAAATATTATGTATAAAGGAACAGTCCATGTTGAATGAGTATATGCTTACTGAAGCACTTATCTCTAGTAAAAACTTTTTCTCCAATTTCTAATATTGATTTATAGTGTTTATGAAATCACTTAGAATTATCCCAGAAAATAATGCTATTTAAAAATTATTTGAAATTGTGTTTCTCCAGAATATACATAAAACCCTGGAGTGTTAGTACTATGAGTGCAAGGAATTGATTGCTTTGGCTCTGGTTCCTTTTTTGTATCACTACTGCATCTTTAACACATGGCTGGATGCCTGGCATTTTATACAACTCAAAATTATGATTGAATGAATGAAAGAAATATGAATAAATGAGTTATGCATGCATGCATGCATGCATGAATAAATACACATTTTGGAAGCTGCATTTCTGATTCAAGGTTCTAGTCAACCAGCTTCTACTAAAGAAGCAAATACAATTTTCAAACATAACAACAGTTGCCTGAGTTAATTTTCAATGTTTTCTCATTAATGCATTTGTTTCTGCCTTAATGTTACTTCATGAGAACCTTTCCAACCTGGTTATTTCTGGTCTTTTTTTTTATAACATGCAGGATGTGAAGACATGAAGGCCGACATCATGTTTCTGGTGGACAGTTCTTGGAGTATAGGAAATGAAAATTTTAGGAAAATGAAAATCTTCATGAAAAACCTGTTAACTAAAATTCAAATTGGTGCAGACAAAACCCAGATTGGTGTTGTTCAGTTCAGTGATAAAACTAAGGAAGAGTTCCAGCTTAATAGATATTTTACACAGCAAGAAATTTCTGATGCAATAGATAGAATGTCTCTCATCAATGAAGGCACTTTAACTGGAAAGGCACTAAATTTTGTAGGTCAATACTTCACCCACTCCAAGGGGGCCCGTTTGGGGGCCAAAAAATTTCTCATCCTCATCACAGATGGAGTAGCGCAGGATGATGTGAGAGATCCTGCTAGAATTCTTCGGGGCAAAGATGTGACCATCTTCTCTGTAGGAGTATACAATGCCAATAGATCTCAGCTAGAAGAGATCAGTGGGGATAGCAGCCTAGTTTTTCATGTTGAGAACTTCGATCATCTAAAGGCACTAGAAAGGAAACTTATCTTTCGTGTGTGTGCTCTCCATGGTAAGTGTCCCTGTTATCTGTCAGGACTAAAGGATGTGAGCTGTTGACTTTATAATGAGAAACAGTGAATGGCACTCTGGCCCTGACCTCCACCTGGACTTCAGTGTTAAGTTTTGGTCTTCTTTATGTAATATTAAAATGCCTGTGACCTCCAGGAATGTTTCAGACTAACAATTTTGGCATCTAGTTTGGCACAAGTTAGTATGGCATTGGTGACTTCAAATATGTTCCAAAAAGATCCCAGAATTTTACTTTAAACTTACAAATCTTTAATACCCACATGCCTGGATTTTCCAGAGCCAGTTTTTAATCCCAAATGATTTTCTAGAATTGTTTCTTGGCTATCTATGACCATTGTTAAGCAGAAAATAACTAGAAATACAAATTCGTCTTTCTTTTAGTTAAATTATATCTAGTATCCTAAGCACCACCCACCAAGAAAACCCTGGGTATTTTAAAGATAGTTTATTTTCATTACTTCACATTATTATTCTTAACCTCTATCAACTGGATATTTTATATTTGCCTGTTCGTGTATCCATCCCTTTGAAAAATTGTAATTTGTCACTTTTCTGATTACTTGGGGTCATCATTTTATTCTTACAAATTGTAGTGCTTTTAAAATTGTATTGTGCAACCTTCAGTTTGAGCCTATCAATTTTAATGTCTTTTGAATGAGAGCTTTCTCTCAATCCACACATAGACTAAAACACCTATGTTTTTAAATCTATCATGTGCTATTTTCTGTGTTTTGGATACAACTAAGAAAACAAACCCAAGTAAGTTTGTTTTGTGTTGTTCCTGTGGCAACATAGAGATTTTCATTGGACTTTATTCGTCAAAATTATGCATGTGGAATTTTCAGAAACTTAACATAATGTCTTATAAACACTTAAGTGTTAGGTGATAGTTCTAAAGTTTCCTTGGTAACAGCTTAATTGGAATTTTCTTCTTCCCCCAAAGATGGCAGTGATTCCAAAACTCTTGATAATGTTGAGAGGTGTACCTAAAGGCTATAGCTTCAACTTTGAAACCTGCAAGGCTCTTCTTGGCATTTCTTCATTTTGATTAATGTAAATGTGGAGGCCCTGTCTACAGCATAACCTGAAATTCAGCTGACTCATGCATTAGATTGTCTCCTAAGTATCAGGTCATGACTAGTCACCAGTTCTCAGTGGGTCATTGACCAAGGTTTTTACAGATACAGCCTGGGGACATTCACAGTGTCAGAAAATTAAAAATTTGAGACTTTATTATTAGAAATAAGAGTTGACAATTAGCTAGGCAGGTGGAAAGTGGAGAAAGCCAATCTTTGGAATACATGTGCATAAGTTATTGAGGGAAGGAAAAGAGTGGGGAAAGAGTCCACACTTTGGAAAGCCAGCCAAAACAGTCATTTGTCTTACAATGTGGAGGAGGGTTTGGGGTCAGGGAAAAGGTGATAGGAGTTTTTGCTCTCCTCCTACTTGGGGCCACTTCTTTCTGAGTTCTAATTCAAAAGGTTAGGGGAAAAAGCATAAATAACTGCAGAGAGACATGATAAACAGGGATGGTTTGCATACCCGAGGGTCCAAAGATACCTGGAGCCAGAGGGAGTAGGGTAAAACTACCAACTTATACAGTGAGCTCCTGAGCTTTTCGAAATAGCAGGCCAGTTTGGCAAACATCAGTATATCTCGCCATTACATTGGCATGGAACTAGCTTCTAACGTTGCCTTTCAGTTGAAAGCCTGCTTAGCAAAAGACATTACATGTCCTAATGAGATATATCAAAATAGAGTGGTGTGGCATAAGGACCAGCAAACCTGGAGTGATATAGATAGGGTACAAATGTCTTTGGAGTCATGATGTAGGCAAGTTGCACTTCTCTGAGCCTTGACTTTTTTTTTCTGTAAAATGGCAGCAGCCACCTCTAAGAACTAAGTGAGATATAGTGTCTGACACATAGTAGGCTCATGGCAAATGCCAGTTCGCTTCCCTTCTCAGCACCCTGCGTAGAATGCACTGCAGAAAGTTTGTGACTCCTGTTTTCATCTTCTTTCAGATTGTAAAAGGATTACACTACTAGACGTTGTGTTTGTGCTGGATCATTCAGGTAGCATAAAAAAACAATATCAAGATCACATGATTAACCTAACTATCCATTTGGTGAAGAAAGCAGATGTTGGCAGGGACCGAGTTCAGTTTGGAGCCCTCAAATACTCTGACCAACCTAACATCCTTTTCTACCTTAATACATACTCGAACAGATCAGCAATAATTGAGAATCTGCGGAAGCGCAGGGACACTGGAGGGAACACCTACACTGCCAAGGCTCTCAAGCACGCAAATGCCCTGTTTACAGAGGAACATGGCAGCCGCATCAAGCAAAATGTGAAGCAGATGCTGATTGTCATCACCGATGGGGAATCCCATGACCATGATCAGCTCAATGACACAGCATTGGAACTGAGAAACAAAGGCATCACCATCTTTGCAGTGGGTGTAGGAAAGGCCAACCAAAAGGAACTTGAGGGTATGGCAGGGAATAAAAACAATACTATCTATGTAGATAATTTTGACAAACTGAAAGATGTTTTCACACTTGTTCAAGAACGTATGTGTACTGAAGCACCAGAGGGTAAGTTGTTACTTTTAAAGTTTCTATGGGGGTAGCAATAAAAGTTTAAACAAAAAGTAAATCATAAGTCTCAGGTCTCCGATTACCTGGATGTTATGGACTGAACATTTCTCTGCTCAGGCTATCAGTTTTCTCATCTCTAAAAGAAATGGGTTGATTGAACAAGATCCCAAAGTTTCCTTCTCACCACAGCATGCACTGAAGAGATTATACAGGAAAGTTCCAGATGCATTCCGTGGCATTTTACTACTCTGTTGCCTTTTTCTGGCAGAAAGGAATTCTTCTTAGGGTCATATTCACCTTACCCCAAGTAATGGCTGCTCATGGTGCTCCATTTGGTTAATGCTCTCAATGCAGCCACTGGACATCAGTTTCAGGTCAAACTCAAACGGAAAGTTTCATGGTTTAAATGGATAGACTTTTGCCTTCAAAGATCCAGGGCCCTCTAAATGAGATCATAGGCATTCTAGAGAGGCATCAAAATTCAAGTGGCCTGATGTGCTTTTCTGGGTAAGCGCCACCTGTGCAGAGGGCAGGATATGAGAGTTGAACGTAGGGTAATGGAAGCTGGCTGAGAGAAACAGGGAGGGAAGGGAACTGAGATGATTACCAGCTACCATTGGGGTTGGTAGGCTGGAGACATCACATTTGAGTGAGGACAGGGTGACACTTGCCACTTGTGGTCTTAAAAGCAGTAGAGACTGATAAGTCATCTAGGAAGGGCTGCTGTGCCTACTTGGAAGGTCTGAATTCTTGTGGTTTGTTATTGGCCCAGTCCTCCCAATCTGGCAAATGAAACAATTAACTCTCAAATTTCCTTTCTTCTTCACTTCCTTCCTCCCTCCTTCCTCTTGTTTCTTTCCTCCTTTATTCCTTCCTTTCTACCAACAGGAAGCTCACTTTTGTCACTAATATAAATCATGTTTCTAAGACTGACATTAACCCACTTCCATATCTGTAACTTGTCCAACTCCAAACAAAACCTTACCTCAAATCCTGTGTCAGATCAGCATTTGCTTGGCTAAATAAAACTATGCCTGACCACCATAGCTTTACCTTACTTAAGTAAGCAATTAATTCATCTTCTTCGTTTCAGATATTGAATGATGGTATCATCTTTATCCAAGGAAAATTATGATTTTTCCCAAGGCAGCAGGACCACCCCAGTTCTTCTGCCTGTTCCATCCTCTCCCTTGACTCTCAGTCTGAAGCGTGGGCTCCCCTCCCTCAGTCCTGACACACCTGCCAGTCCACTTAACACTGAATGTTCTTTCTTCTACACACTGGATGTGGTCACTCTTCTGCTTACAGTGTTTTTTTTTTGTGTGTGTGTGTGTGTGTGTGTGTGTTTTTCTTGGAGGCCTCCCTGTGCCCTTGGGGCAATTTCCAAACTCCTGAGCTCTATCTAGCCCCTGCCCACCTCGCCAACCTCATTGATCACCTCTCCCCTCTTCACAATCTACCCTGTCCTTCTGAAATTCCTCCACATCTTTGTGCACACTATCCTGCCCACCATGAACACTCCAGCCCACCACTGTGCCTGCCTACGTCTCACTTTTCTGTCAAATTTCAGTCTTTGTTTGCTAGTTTCCTGGCCCAAAACCTGACCCCGTGTCCCCACTGTATCCCCCAACTCTCACTCCTTCTATTTTCCAGGTGGTAGCACTTGACACATATTTGCTGTTTTCCTATCTGTATCTATCAAAAGACTACAAGCTCCACAGGCAGGCTTAATCTTGTTTGTTTGGGGTGTCCTCCAAAACTGGCGCATTACTAAGACTACAGTCTTTTCCTATGAATGTGGAGGCTGTTTTATTCTCATTTCCTATGCCTACATTTTTGAGGTAGTGGTGAGATGGAGTTTGGGATGCAAGATGTTTATTAGGGATCCACACCTGTAAAATAAATGGGGAAAGCAAGATGGACCAAATAACTCAAATAGTGACATAGGCTAAACAAAGCTCCAAACCTAGCAGAGAGCTCTGAAGCAAATTTCGCCCATGAGAGCTGTCCAGCTTCAGCCTGAAACAGCTGGACTAAGGGAGAACTCCCTTCCCACTTAGTGCCTGGATGTGGTGGCCCTAGGAAGGGCATGACCTTTGGCAAGGCATCTCTCTATAGTGAGACAGACCCTGAAAGTGCTGACAGCTAGAAGCTGTTTACCGCCTGCCCATACTCCCATAGCTGGGGAGTAAGTTCTTCTTTGCAGGTCTATCCGGGCAGCCCATCTTTGTGTCTGCCACACTACCCTTACAAGGAATTCTGTGACCGTGGGTAACCTACTGTCTCAATTACCTTTAGTAATCACCGTAGTGCTGCTGCTACCACAGCCATTGAGTTTGGTTGGAAATGAGTATAGAAAGTCACCCTTTGATTTTGGGACATTTCAGATTGGACTTCAGGGAGGTGACCTTATGCTCTGTTTACCAGCCATTCACACTTCTTCTGAGAAGTTCTAACATTTGAGTCATGATATTTTTAAAAAGCATTGCAGCAGAAAAAAAGTGCTAAATTTAAGAGTAAAAAGGATCTAGAGGTCCAGATACCAGCTCCACTCCATAGTAACTGTGTGCTCTTAGGCGAGTCACTTAGCCTCTGAATTCTATTTCTATATTCGTAAAATTAGAATAATTAGTCATAAGGTGGTTGTGAATATTAATGTTGTTAGTGTATGCCAAAAGCATTTTTAAAATGCTACTCCTCAATATGAATGTAAAGTGATAACATGAATAGTAATAGGAGTACTAATAATAGTACAGTAAGTAAGTGCTATTATCTTGATGGGGTAAATGTCCCAATCGTGGTGTTTTGAAGGGACGTCTACCCTTTATAATCACCTTTTAATGAGTACGTGAAATTTATTCAAACTTCTTACTTTCTTTCTCTGATTAGCTTTCAGTGTCTTTTCAAATGGATTGTATAAATAATTAAACTTTGAAAAAAACTCCATTATCTTTCCTCCTCTTGCTATTTTTTCTTCTTTTTGAGGATCAGTGATTCTCTCTCTTGTTAACTTATCTCAATTTGCTAATGTAAATCAATTGAAGTATTTAGTAAAGCAATTTAAGTATATGAGGAAAGGAAAAATTTCGAATGATTCATGAGGAAAATAATTTATTCTTTTTTCTATTGCAGTCTGTCATCTTCAGGAAGCTGACGTGATTTTCCTTTGCGATGGCTCTGACAGGGTATCTAATTCAGATTTTGTAACCATGACAACTTTCTTGTCAGACTTAATCGATAATTTTGACATTCAGTCTCAAAGAATGAAAATTGGTATGGCTCAATTTGGAAGCAACTACCAGAGTATTATTGAGTTGAAAAACTCTCTGACTAAAACCCAGTGGAAGACTCAAATTCAGAATGTCTCCAAGAGCGGTGGATTTCCAAGAATTGACTTTGCCCTTAAAAAAGTGAGCAATATGTTTAATCTACATGCTGGTGGGAGAAGAAATGCTGGTGTCCCCCAAACTTTGGTTGTTATCACATCTGGAGATCCTCGCTATGATGTGGCAGATGCAGTAAAAACCCTGAAGGACCTTGGAATTTGTGTCCTGGTTTTGGGCATAGGAGATGTTTATAAGGAACATCTCCTGCCAATAACAGGCAATTCTGAAAAAATAATCACTTTTCAAGACTTTGATAAATTAAAGAATGTGGATGTGAAAAAAAGAATCATCCGTGAAATCTGCCAGAGCTGTGGGAAAACCAGTAAGTGCTTCTTGTTTGGTTTTCTTCCATGGAAACTTCTCATTTCTCCATTTCCCAAGAGTGTCTTATGGGCTAGCTCTAGCAGAGCATATATTTAGAACATATATTTAGTGAGAATATCTCACTTGTTGTGCAATGAGAAGAGACTTCTCTGCTTCCAGGAAGTTTGGATAACTCAGCCTCCCTCAAAGACATGGAAAGGGTGCAGAGGCTAGAGGGGACCCCTGGGCTGTGTCCTCTGGTCAGCCCTGTTCCCTCACGGCAATCCAGTGTTTATTCTCCTTTTAACACCTGGATCTCTCTCTCCTATTTCTGTCCTCCTAGTAAATGCCCTGCATCCAGTAGGAAGTAAGTAAAATAAACATTTACAGATTGGAAGTTTTACTATTGTACCTTTGTTAAGCCATCTTGTAAGGGACTCGTGTGTGTGTGTGTGTGTGTATGTGTGTGTGTACAGTGTATTTTTCTTCTTTTAATGATTACATTCATATAATCATAGCCTACTAAAGATCTGAATTGTCTTTAGAGGTTATTTAATCCAGAGGTCACAAAGGCAAATGGCTGCAAAGGCCAGGTGCGTAGTGGAGATGAGTCAAGTGAGCAGAGTATGAGGACAGTGAACTGAAAAACAATGATGCATCTCACAGGAATGCCACTATTCAGCTCCAGCTGAGAGTGGCCACAGGGGACTCAGCTTCTGTAAATTTGAGGCTAGGAGTTGAGAGGACAGCATGTAAGGAAGCAGTAGCAAATGATAACAGTTTGTGGAATTTGCACAACATGCAGAAATTCCTTAGAGTTCTTACGTTTCTAGAGTTATTATGATTGAAATCACTTCTTTCACAAAATGTGATAGTCTTTCCAAACTCTCCACATCTTATATGTCCCATTTGCGGTGCTCAAGTGGAGGCAGATTACAGTGGTGGAAAGAGCCCAGGGCCTGGAATCAGAAAGCTAGAGTTCTAACTCTGGTTCAGCAGCAACAACCTCCACACACGACTGTTTCCCCATCTGTAAAATGAACAACCTGGGCAGGATCAGAATAACCAAATGGCAGCTTGCAGTTGCAGTTTGTTTGTCGCATCCAGCGTTGATGAGTTGCTAAATTAGTTGACAGCATTCACACTGAAGGTTCTACATTAAAAATGTTGACATCAGGCTCCTCTTTGAAAAATCAGAAGATCTGACAACACTAGGCCCCATTTTCCACATAGCTACTCTCAGCTGGAACTGAACAGTGAACAGACCCAGAAATGGGTCATTGTTCTCCAGTTCATTTTCCTCACACCCTGCCCACTTGAATCATTTATCTTATCTACCTGCCTTTGCAGCCATTTGTGTTTGTAACCTCTAAAACTTAAATAATCTGAAAAGACAGCACAAAACTTTATTTATTTTTTGTTTTTTATTTTTTTGAGATGGAGTCTCGCTCTGTCGCCCAGGCTGGAGTGCAGTGGCACGATCTCGGCTCACTGCAAGCTCTGCCTCCCGGGTTCACGCCATTCTCCTGCCTCAGTCTCCCGAATAGCTGGGACTACAGGCGCCCGCCACCACACCTGGCTAATTTTATTTTTGTATTTTTTAGTAGAGATGGGGTTTCACCGTGTTAGCCAGGATGGTCTCGATCTCCTGACCTCATGATCCACCTGCCTCGGCCTCCTAAAGTGCTGGGATTACAGGCTTAAGCCACCACACCCAGCCTCAAAACTTTAATGTATTCTGACTATGTGAATCAAAATATGTCACCATTAAAATGCACGCCCACATGCATGCGCACACACATACGACAGAGTCACTGAGAATGAGACTAAATTATGGTTTGAACTTCAAATAGCTATTGGAAGTTTTAATATTTTAAAGGGGACAGAGAAAACCCCTGTGATATATGTTGGTATCACATATATATGTGATATACACATATATATGTGTATATGTATATATATGATATATGTATATGTATATATATGATAAAGCAGCCAGTATCTTCCTTCTTGAACACTATTTGGGGACTAGAGACCCTCTAGCTCTGGGGCATGACAGTGCTCCTTTTTTCTGCCGTCTCTCCTTCCTTACTCCTGTCTACTCGTTAATCTTGACTCTGTTCCCTTGGTTTCTAGATTGCTTTATGGACATAGTGGTTGGGTTTGACATCTCCACTCATGTGCAGGGGCAGCCTTTGTTCCAGGGCCACCCCCAGCTGGAATCCTACCTCCCAGGCATCTTAGAAGACATCAGCTCTATCAAGGGGGTGAGCTGTGGGGCTGGCACAGAGGCACAGGTGAGCTTGGCGTTTAAGGTGAACAGTGACCAAGGATTCCCTGCCAAGTTCCAAATCTATCAGAAAGCAGTGTTTGACAGCTTGCTGCAAGTCAACGTCAGTGGGCCAACTCATCTGAACGCACAGTTCTTGCGGTCTCTTTGGGACACATTTAAGGATAAATCTGCATCCCGGGGCCAGGTATCCATATTACATTCTATCTCCCATCTCCACATTCTCCCATTTGTTCTTCATTCCCCAATTATATATTTAGCTTTTACACCATACCATTTTCTTATTTCTCCAGGTGCTGCTTATTTTTTCAGACGGTCTCCAGAGTGAAAGCAACATAATGCTTGAAAATCAATCAGACAGGCTCAGAGAAGCAGGTATTGAGTTGTTGTTGTTTTTTTTTTTTTTTTTTTTGAGATGGAGTGTCAGTCTGTCACCCAGGTTGGAGTGCAGTGGCACGATCTCAGCTCACTGCAAGCTCCACCTTCTGGGTTCACACCATTCTCCTGCCTCAACCTCCTGAGTAGCTGGGACTACAGGCGCCCACCACCACGCCCAGCTAATTTTTTGTATTTTTAGTAGAGATGGGGTTTCACTGTGTTAGCTAGGGTGGTCTTGATCTCCTGACCTCGTGATTCACCCGACTTGGCCTCCCAAAGTGCTGGGATTGCAGGCGTGAGCCACCGCGCCCAGCCGAGTTGAAAATTTAAACAGTGAAGCATGGAATATGCTTAACAAGTCTCTACCTTTACTCAGATGCTGTAGATCTTGAGATCTGCCTAGCTACTTGTAGCAGAGGCTGTTGATACCTCATCTAATCCCCGTTGACCAGCCCTCACACTCCTCCCCAAAATGCTGCAAATGCTGTGGCCAAGTGCTTAGACTTATGACCTTCTATATAGACATGTGTCCTTGACTGATCTGAACCATGTACCTGGACGTGCTTGGAATGGGTGTGGGGTTACCATGCCCCACGTTGGTGGTGGGGGCAGGGGCAACTATGATATAGGGATACAAAAGCCTGGCACTCTTGCTTAAATGGGTCAACTCTAGTACAATTTGCATTCCAGAGTCCCTCATGAATCAGGCAAAGGCTAAGAATTTACTGAGATGTATCCCTGGTTACAACATCTCCTTCCCTTTTCTGCTCTCTCAATATAGACACCACATACATACAAAATCCTCTTTCAGATTCCAGTTCTAGGGAACCTGACCGAAGACAGCTCCTACTGTTCCTTCTTTTCCATATGAAAGATAGCAACGTGGATTTGGAAAAGCACTTCTCGCTATATATTTTCTGTCCATGTCATAGCTTCAAACTGAGCCGGAAGCTAAATGCAGAAGTTGAGAGTAGGATGCAGCAATGGAAGACTCCGTTAATTGTCAAATGAGATGCATTGTTTAAGAATTCCTTGGTGTAGCCCAGACTGGCTTCTAGGGTTCATCTTCCACAGGCAACCTCCCTAAAGACCACAATATGTCCTGTTTTATTGCTCAGTTGTGTCTCTTTCTCTGCACAGTTCCCTTCAATACCTTCTCATTGTTCTTGGGATATAGATCAAATTCCTTAACATGGCTTGGGAGCTTTGCAGAACCTGGCCTTTGCTTGCCATTTCAGCCTTAACTCATTTCTTTCTTTTTTTTTTTTTTTTTTGAGACAAAGTCTCGCTCTGTCACCCAGGCTGGAGCGCAGTGGCCCGATCTTGGCTCACTGCAAACTCCGCCTCCCAGGTTCACACCATTCTCCTGCTTCAGCCTCTGGAGTATCTGGGACTACAGGAGCCTGCCACCACGCTTGGCTAATTTTTTTTTATTTTTAGTAGAGATGGGGTTTCACCGTGTTAGCCAGGATGGCCTGGATCTCCTGACCTCATGATCCGCCCACCTCGGCCTCCCAAAGTGCTGGGATTACAGGCACGAGCCACTGCACCTGGCCAACTCATTTCTTATATTCAGTGTTCCAGGCATATGAAACTATTTTTTCCCATTCTTCCCATTCTTCCTGTAATGAGATATATATATATATATACTTTTTTAGATGGATTTTTGCTCTTGTTGCCTAGGCTGGAGTGCAGTGACACAATCTCAGCTCGCTGCAACCTCTGCCTCCCAGGTTCAAGCGATTCTCCTGCCTCAGCCTCCCGAGTAGCTGGGATTACAGGTGCCCACCACCATGCCTGGCTAAATTTTTTTTGTATTTTTAGTAGAAATGGGGTTTTTCCATGTTGTTGACCAGTTCGCTGGTCACAAATACCTGACCTCAGGTGATCCGCCCACCTCGGCCTCCCAAAGTGCTGGGATTACAGGTGTGAGCCACTGTGCCTGGTCCCCATGTACTTTACAGCCTCACTTCTCTCCGTCCTTGCCTAGAGCTTCCTCTATCTCCTTACCTCCCCGGGTACTCTCTCCATCTTCCATCTCTGGTTCTTTCCATTGGCCAACTTACATTTATCCTTTAGAATCAGCTTCAACATCAATTTTTCCAAGAAACCTTCCATGACTCTCCAAGAATGGGTTAGGAGCTTCTCCTCTAGGCTGTCATGGAACCCTGATGTTTCTCAGAGCAACTATCTGATTCTTGACCCTCTGTTCCATTAGACCATTAACTCTGGGAAGGAAAGAAGTAAACCTGACTTATTCATTTGTATCTCTGCTATTATACAATGATTAATACATAATAGGCTCCTATTAATAATTTAAAAATTTGTTTAGTGAAAAGATGAATAAAGTCAATGAACTAGTAAATGAATTAATGAGTGAATAGATGAATTAATGAATGAACTGGATGTGGTCAGGAGTTCAGCTGAGACAATTGCCCTGGGCTTTCCTCATGTTCTCAGGGCTTGGCCTCCCAGGGGTGTTTGGAATTGGGAATAACTTGAGAATTATCATTAATGTACATTCAGGAAAATTCAGCAAAGCTCTCTGGAGATGAATAATGCCCTTTCTTAAAAATCACTTTCCCGTGCCCAAGAATTGCATGAAAATTGGTGGTAAGATGTGGAACACAGTTTTCTATTAGTGTTTTTCTGTAGATTTGTAAATCGTTTCTCTTGAATACTTTTTATCAGGGGATTTCATGCGACGGTCAGGGACCAGAGCTGGTGCATATTCAGAAAATGCAGGCAAATTCTCTGTTAGTTTCTTCATATGTCAGGAGTACTCCTTCCTCTTATGTTTGTTTTTTTCCCCTTTTCAATTCTTTAAATCATGTTCACTGAGTAGAATTATTATGTCTTCTTCTTTTTCATGTACAACCCCTTTGCTTTATTTATATTGTGGTTTTTACCACATAGGACTTGATGCTCTGCTGGTAGTGTCCCTTAACACAACTGCTCATCATGAGTTTTCTAGCTTTGAATTTGGAAAAAGATTCGATTACAGGACTCATCTGACTATTGGAATGAGAGAACTGGGCAAAAAACTATCACAGTACCTGGTGAGTTGTTGAACAAAATCCCCGGTTGTTCAAAATGCCATGGGAACTAAATTGGAATCTTGATGAGAACTTTCAAAGACTGCCTTTGTTTACCCCCACTAAATTAAGTGCTTTGTCCTTAGTATATAAAAAAGTGTGGAAGACCATAGCATAGTATTTTGTTTTTGCATGTTCTTTCATTCTTTGTCATCTCACTAAATGAATGCATAAGTAACTAAAAAACCAACCAACTCATAATTGAATTAAAAAGCCCCCAACTGTTTGTGCTGCAGAAATTCCAGGAAACAGAAGACTGTCAACTAGAAACCAACAAGTCTTAGGCAAAGTTGGGCCATGGCCATCCACATACTGGATGCCCTGTCTATAGACAGAGATCATTTCCTCTGGAGAGGCGATGTTGCCAATGCAGTGCCTGGTACCTTCTCTGCAGTGTTAAATTCAGAAAGCACCTCTTATTCTCTGCAGCCCCTCATCCAAAGGGTGAAGATGGGCGTGTAGATGGTGGATTATGATTTGTATGAGTACAATTCTTATGGAATAAAGTTTCTGACAATTGCTATTCCCTCAGCTTTACTTTTTTTCCCCCAGGGAAATATTGCAGAGAGGACTTGCTGCTGTACATTCTGCAAATGTCCAGGAATTCCAGGACCTCATGGGACCCGAGGACTACAAGCCATGAAGGTGCCACTCACCTGTGATACTATTTTATCTAATGTGCCTTGATTTGGTACAGGTGGGACTGAGACTGAGTGGTTGAATTTACAGCCTTCACTCTATGCTAATGGAATTGCTTTGGACATTTCATGTGACTTTTTTGGAATAAAATCCAGGTCAGGAGAGCTCACTTTTGATACTGCTAGCAAGAATAACTCCCTTTTCTTTTACATACCCTTGGCAATGTTGCTTCTTGGTTTTGCAATTTATACTTTTGTACCTGCTTTAGAAAGTTTGAAAGGTGGTAAGAAGTAAAAAATAGTGGAGATGAAGCTGGGTGTAGGAGCTTGCACCTGTAATCCCAGCTACTTGGGAGGCTAAGGTGGGAAGATCACTTGATTGTTCAAGACCAGCCAGGGCAACATAACGAGACCCCATCTCCTTAAAAATAAATAAACAAATAAGAGTTGTGCTTCATCAGTAACAGAATGAGATTGAACTACAAAAAGATCATAGCATTGCAGATTAATAGCCTTTTAAAACACAAATTATAAAATATTATACAACAATAGGATGAATAAATATGTCATGATATTTTCAATAAAATATGTCAATGAAAATGAATGAACTACAGCTACACACAACAACATGAATAACTTTTACTAACATGGTAATGACTAAAAAAAGCAAAACATAGAAGAATGCATGTGGTAAAATTCCATTTATTAGAAGTTATAGTATCTAGGGAGGAATACTTAACGGTGAAGTATTTTTAAAAGGCAAGAAAATATTATCAGAAGTCAGGAGGGCCCTTGTGGAGAGAGGCTGGGGGTGAATTGTGACTGGGGACAGGCACTGTGCCTGGGACCAATAATGCTCTATTTCTTGACCTGCATGGTGGCTACATAGACCTTATATATATAAAAATTATAATATTGTTCTATAAAGTTACTTTATAACAATTAAACTATACATTTATATTTTATACACTTTAATGCACTTTTCAAATGGATTTTAGGTATCACAATACAAATGAAGTTTTTCTTTAAAAAAAAGAGATCAACAATACTTGCTCATGAGTTCTGCACTGTCCATCCTTATGGAAGGACAATTTATATTGAACTTTTTACTGCACTGTGATGTTTTGTTTAGCACAATTTTCTCTCGATACTTTGCTCAGGTCAATATTAGAATTATGTTCCAGAAGCACAACCCCCCTGGTATACTGATCAGCCAGCTGGGCCTGTGTTAGAGGGTGGGGAAAGCAAACTCAAATGAAATGTTTGCCACAAGTAAGCCACAACACAGTTAAACCACATGTGGCTAAGGGAGAGATGACTGCAATTAAAATATATGCAATCTTGTTGTTGGAAGTGGTTATTCTTCCTTGAGCTCTCAAAATAGCAGGACAAAATAAAATAATACCTTTGGAAATGTTATCGGTTTGTCTGCTGAAAGGGTTGTGGCTGGTACAGCTGTCCTCCCTGCAAATCGCTCAGGTGCAGGTGTGGCTCTGTGGGTCTCATCTGCTGGTGGGTTCCAAAGGTCAGCCTCCCGCAAGCATTAGGAGGGTCACCTTCTGCAAGAGGGGCTTCAGAGCTGAGTGCAAGGACAAAAGCTAGCTCCAGATGTTGTCAGATTCTCCCCAAACTCACGGCCACATCTGCAGAAACTGCAACCAAGTTGGAGGAAGGGACTTGCTTAGAATGCCTAATGATTTCACAAGTTTGACTTTATTGGGGGGGGGTGACTAAAATGTATTGTTCTCTCTTTCTTCCCAGGGTTCTCAAGGTCTGAAAGGCAGCAGAGGACACAGGGGAGAGGATGGAAACCCTGTAAGTTTTTATTACTCCCCCTCACCCCCTGTTGCACACACACTGTACACACACACACACACACACAAACACACACTTATTTTCTTTTTCATAAAAAAAGCTTATTTTCATACAAAAGGGGTAGATGGGGTTTTGTTTATATGTTTATTTTTATATGTTGATATGTTTATTTTGTTTATATGTTTATTTTTGTGCTTTTTTGTGGGAAGAAGGGTTGCCTTTCTTTTCACTTTTCCTTGTCTGAATGATGAGGCAGTTACTAAGTCTAAGTTTGGGGTAAGGAGGGAACAGGCTTACACGTGTAGCCTGGCATGTTTTTATCAGTGGCAGATACCTGGGCACCCTCCTCTCTACCCCCAAGCAGGGCACAGCAGGTTATCTGCCAGGGAGCTCTTTTTAGACCTAAAACCCAGTGCTTAGTACATGGCTTTGGGCCAAGGCTGGAGTATACACCCTTCCATGGAAAGGGAAGTCGGCAAAGCATCCCTCAAGATGAGAGGCATGGCTTCACGGTCAAATGCTACACAGAGGTTTGCGAATCTCTGTGTTTGAAACCAGAACTCTCACTTTCTCATCAATCAAATTGTGAGAAAGAATTTGAAGAAACTGAAACCACTTAGGTGGCTCTGTTAGGGATGGAAAAATTTCAGAAAGCATCCAGACTGGATTTCTATCACCTTAGATCAAGTCCAGTTCCTCATCTGGGCAGGAAGTTTTAAGGATTGAAAGCAAAGACTCTAGAGTCAGGCTGCCAAGAGTTGGCCTAGATATGGGTCCTTGAACAAGATACCTAACTTCTTGACCCTCAGTTTTCTCATCTGTAAGCAATTATAAGTTCCTCTACAATCTAATGGCTGACCTAGTTTACAAAATGACCACTAAGGGGGGTGCTCTAAATCACCTACTCTGTACCCTCCAAACTAGCATGGGAGTGCTTTCAGTGTGGGGAATAGTGTCACCCACCTGCCTGGCTGAGCCCACCACTGGCAGAAAGTCCAGGCAATGGGAAGCCATAGGGCTAAGGTACCTCTCAGCAACCTGTGGCCATGGGCAAGGCCTCCTCCTTTTGCAGGGAATGATCCTCAGGATAAAGAAAGCAAAGCAGGACAAAGGAAAATCCTTTCTCCCTCTCTTACTGGCAAGGCAAGAATTAAGCTCATTACTAGTTAATTATTCATGCAGCAAAATGTAAGCACCTGTTATGCACCTAGACATGAGCCAGTCACAAGGGACACGATGGTGAAAGACACAGTTGGGGTTCCTGCCCTCAAAAAGCACAAAATTGTTCCTTTCTTAAGATCCATTTTACTTTAGCATTTACCTGTATTTAAATATTTCCTTGGAGAAGCAAGGTTGGTGGGAGACACACAAATCATTGACCTTCAGTGCTCACCCCTGCACGGATAGTCTGACTTTGGGGGTCTTTAACCTGGTGATTCCTCCTGTGAGGACTGGCTTTTCTCACCTTTGCTTTCTCATTCTCCTAGTAGTGTCACTTCCCAGCAACTGTTTCTACTCAGCAGCAGTACCCTAGCACTGACTTGTGGGTCTACTGTCAGCAATGCTGACTCTCCCAGTATAGCATTAGGGCCGTAGATGGATTACTGGAGTCTTGGAATGTGGCTACAAAGTGAAGCCACTGTGCTGTTTGATCAGGTAGTGAAGTGGCTGAGCTCTTCTTGCACCTTTTTGTGATCTTGGGTCTATAAAAAGCCCTGAAGGTTGACAGGAAACATGTTTGAATACAGAGGGGAAAAACAGACATAAATGAGTGAGGATTCACTTTTGAATCCTTTTTGAAGAGGATTCACTTTTTCTAAAGCTCATAGTGCCCATGTGCTTTGTCTTAACTCTGTGAAAATAAACCACTGGCAGCTTCTGGCAAAAACATCACTTTGGGTACCTGTCTGTGCTCCTTTTCTTAGGGAGTACGAGGAGACACAGGACCCCAAGGAGACAAAGGGATTGCAGGATGTCCAGGGGCGTGGGGTCAGAAGGTAAGGCTCTTCTGTAAATGTTATTTCCAATTCTCTGTAACATTCTCTCCCTCTCTTTCCCCATTCCTTTCCTCCCTCATTTTCTCTCTTCCATCACTCCTCTCTCTTTTCCTTTCTCCAGTTATATAGATGAGTTTTCCTGTCTGCAGACTAATTCTGCTTTTTAATAATATCAAGGAGTCTTTAGCATTAATAAATTGCATCTCTAACCTCTTTGTAGATGTATAGCCCGAAGCGACTAAAGAAATACATGCTCACTCACTTTAGAGAGGCAGTCTTTGAATCCACACTCTGTCTTTGATTTGTCAGTGAGAGATATTTCATCTTTTGCAGGGACTCAAAGGATTTTCTGGACCTAAGGTACTGGAGTTTTTTCTTAGTTTAATTTGATTTCCAAATGGGATTAGTTTCCGAATAAGCGTGTGGCAGAGACCTGCTTTTACCTGATGCCTGTCTATTGTCATCTCTCAGGGAGGTCATGGAGACGATGGGATTGATGGACTTGATGGGGAAGAGGTAAGCCATATTTCTTCAAGTATCATAAAACTGTCATGAGGTTGCTAAAATTTTTTTTAAGTGGGAATTTTGTTTTTCTTGTCTTCTTTTAGGGCTGTCATGGATTTCCTGGAATAAAAGGAGAAAAAGGTGATCCAGGATCTCAGGTAACACTTTTCTTTTCAATACTTCAAAGAAGGAGAATTTGGTGACAGAGACAGTCTTAACTGCTGTGTGTCAGTGGTTATAGGGGATAAAATTTACAACTGACTTAACCACATAATGAAGGCCTATTGCTACTGAATGTATGCTGCATATCTGATTGAAGCAAGGGGGTAATTATGTAATTTTAAAGAATTTCCACCTAGAAAAATTTAGCACACACAAGCTTGTTCTATGGGCATGTTTCTCATGTCTGAAAATGAATGCTTTCACCTGTCAGTGGTTTCTTTTGTTCATTTGTTTTTTACCACAACGTTTCCATCAATGTCAGTAATTTCTGTGTTGTCTTTATTATGTCAGAAAAAAAAAAGCAAGAGAAAGAGACAAAATTATTTTGGTGGCTTTGGTAGCAAATCACTGTGAAACATTTTTTAACTTTACATTTATTTCAACACTCATTAGTGTGTGCCTACTTGATTTCAAGCAGCTCTACTTTTATGTTCTGATCCATTGATTTATGAAATATTTTTGAGCACCTGTCATTTGACAGGTTTGTCATGTGCCAGGCACCTGTCATTGGCCAGGCATATATTCTTATATAATAAGAATCAGAGGTGAACCACACAGCCCTTGTCATCAAAGATCCCACAGTATAGTTGGGGAGACAGACATATCAATAGAATTACATAAAATGTGAGTGAGGCCATGTTGTAGATATCTACATGGGAGTCCAGAGAAGGGCATGTAACTCAGCCTGGGGGCAGGGGTTGTCCAGAAAGTCTTCCTGGAGGAAATGACTTCTGAGCTGAAGAGGAACAGGAATTCAGCAAGGCAAAGATGTGGAGGAAGGGCATTCCAGACAGAGGGAGTAGCATAAGCAAAAACATGAGGGTTCAGGGCACTGCCAAATTTTACTTCCTGGAGGGAGCATTAGAATACAGGTACTGGGAGGTGAGGTTCAAGAGGTGGTGGTGGGAAGAGATCAAGAGATTGGGAGGGCACTAGTGAGCCATGTGGAAGAGCTTGGTTTTTAACCGTAAGGCAATGGGGAGCCTTTGAAAGATTTTAAGCAGAAGAATCACAATCAGATTTACATTTTAGAAATATTACTTGCAGTAATGTGGACGATACTTTGCAGATGACATAGATGCAAGACAAAGATGAGAGGCAGATCTGTAGAAATCAGGTGAGAAGTGATGAAGCCTTCAAGTAAAGCAATGATAGTGAGAACAGACACAAAATATGCTAAGGGTGTAGCGGGGTTTGGACTGAAGTGAGGCTAGCAGGGCACCTAAGGTGCAAAAGGGGCAGAGTTATGTGGAGTAAATACCTACCTCCATTCTGCACCTTAGGTGCCTCTCTCATCTCACACTAGTCCTGGTTCTAGGACCTGAAATCTCCAGATATAGGTGACTAGAGGAACAGAAAATAGAGAGTCAGTCAATATGCCTGCAAGGATCCTGGCTTGGGCAAGTTTAATCGGAAATAATTAGGTTTGAGGTGACAATGGAACATGTTGCAGGAAGTCAGGGAACCCGAACAGAGGCTGAAGCCACAGCAGAAGAACATAAACTGTGAAGATTTCATGGACATTTATCACTTCCCCAATGAATACTCTTATAATTTCCTATGCCTGTCTTTAATCTCTTAATCCCATCATCTTTGTAAGCTGAGGATATATGTCGCCTCAGGACCCTGTGATGATTGTGTTATCTGCACAAATTGTTTGTAAACCATGTGTGTTTGAACAATATGAAATCTGAGCACCTTGAAAAAGACAGGATAACAGCGATTTTCAGGGAACAAGGGAGATAACCACAAAGTCTGACTGCCTGCGGGGCCGGACAGAACAGAGTCATATTTCTCTTCTTTCAGAAAGTGAATAGGAGAAATATCGCTGAATTATTTTCTCAGCAAGGAATCACCCTGGGAAAACGAATGCATTCCCGGTGTGGGGGTGGTGGCAGGGGGTGGGGGCGGGTCTCTAAAATGGCTGCTCTGGGAGTGTCTGTCTTATGTAGTTGTAGATAAGGGATGAAATACGCCCTGGTCTCCTGCAACGCCCCCAGGCTTGCTAGGATTAGGAAATTCCAGCCTGGCGAATTCTAGTCAGACTGGTTGTCTGCTCGCGAACACTGTTTCCTGTTAAGATGTTTATCAATGACAATGTGTGCCCAGCAGGACGTGGACCTTCATCAGTAATTCTAGTTTCGCCCTGGCCTTGTGATCTCACTCTGTCTCTCTGCCCTTGTGATATTTTATTGCCTTTGAAGCATATGATCTCTGTGACCCACTCCCTATTCGTACACCACTCCCCTTTTGAAACCCCTAATAAAAACTTGCTGGTTTTGTGGCTCAAGGGGCATCACAGAACCTGCCGACATGTGATGTCACCCCCAGAGACCCAGCTGTAAAATTTCTCTCTTTTGTACTCTTTCCCTTTATTTCTTAGACTAGTGACACTTAGGGAAAATAGAAAAGAAACTACGTTGAAATATTGGGGGCTGGTTCCCCCGATAGAACATCCCTGTGGAAGTTTTCAGTGGGCAATTTAATTATAGATGTTGGAAGTTGCTAGACTGGCTAGGATGTCCAATACCATAGCCACTAACCACATGTGATTATTTAAAGTTTAATTTTAATTAATTAAGAAATTCTGCTCTTTAGTGGCATTGATTACATTTTATGTGCTTAATAGCCACATATGGCTAATGGCTACCGTATTGATGAATGCAGATATAGAACATTTCCATCACTGCAGAAACTCCTATTGGACAGTGCTATGTTAGACCACGAGAAGTTTTCCAGTTTCTGAGCCTCGCTACAAATAATCCTGACCATAGGCTTAAAACTGGACTTAGTACTGCTTGAGAAGTCTGAGGGAATCTGACTGTGATAGGACAAAGAGCATTTTATCTGATTAACCCCCCTACATACAAAACTTCACACTTAACACCATTATACAAGCCTCCTACAAGCTAACTCAGAAATTCATTTCATTTTTTTCAGGGCAGCCCAGGTTCCAGAGGTGCCCCTGGGCAGTATGGAGAGAAGGGCTTCCCAGGGGATCCGGTAAGTTTCTAGGGCCCAGTTGGCTCTGAATTTTATACTTGCTCCACAGTTCCTATCTCCTTTCCCTTTGTGTTTCCTGCCTACCCTGTAGGCAAATGGTTGTCTTAGGAGTAGGGGTGATAGGTGTTGGCTGAGGCTTTGGGAAAAGTCTGTTTGTGTCTTATCTGGGTTAGGCCCATCTTCTGAATCCTTATGGTACGCTGAGACTTTCTGGTTCCTTTGGGAGAACATTTCCATAGCTTTATTTATTGGACTTCTAATCTTGCAGACCTACAGATTCACTATTTGCAGACTTAGTTACGGGGGAATCTTTTTACACCCTTGAGGGAATAGCCTAAGAATATTTGAACCAGTGCATCAGTGAAGCTGCCATCATAGAAAAGGGAAAATCACCATGTAGCAGGCACCCTTTTAATTCTTTATTTATTGCCAAATCTTCTTCAAACTTGAGGAAGTACTGCTTTGATTTTTTCCAAAATCCTGTGAGTTTCGAATATGAAAAAATTTCTCACACCTCTTATAGCTTGACCCAAATTAGCTTAGTACTTGAACATCATACCGTTTTGGGGAAAAAGCTGATATTTCTGGATTCTAAACTACTTTTAAAAATCTTTCTCTAGGGTAATCCAGGACAAAACAATAACATCAAAGGACAAAAGGGCTCCAAAGGAGAACAAGGAAGACAAGTAATTTGATCTGTTTTATCTATGAGTTGATTAATTCTGTTATTGATCCAAGTAAATTTAGTAAGATATGTAACCCTTCTGTAATTGAACAAATGCTCTTAAGACCACATTGAAAAGACCTTTATTTTTTGATGATGCATATTTGTAGTAGGGTATACTTTTAAGAGCAAAATTATGAAGTTTCTGGCAAGTGATATTATTTTGGAAAATGTAGCAGTGAATGTTGCTATACTTTTTTCTTCTTGAAAGGGCATATAACTGTTAATATGCAGAATGATCACAGCATGACATGTTTATTCTGCCATTTTAATAGTGCTTGAGGTTTTGATGCTGATGCCTTTGTGATTTATTCAGAATTTTTTCCTTTTGATCTTGAGGAAATTATTATATTTTTAGGGTAGAAGTGGACAGAAAGGGGTGCAAGGCAGTCCTAGTTCCAGAGGCAGCAGGGTAAGTATTTCTGTGGACATTTATTTCCCCTCCTTGCCACTTGAAGATGACAGAGGCATTCAGAATATTTGTTGTGCACAGTTGGCTGATTCAGGGCTGAAATATTTTTCAGGGCTTCTCCATCTTGACACTACTGAAATTTGGGGCCAATAATTATTTCTTGTGAATGGCTATGCTATGCATTGCCAGATGTTTTGCAGCATCCCTGGTCTCTACCCACTAGTATCAGTAGCACCACCCCTCCCCACTGCCCACTTGTGACATTCACAAGCGTCTCTAAATATTGTCAGATGTCTGTGGTGGATGTAGTAGTGGTGAGTTTGAGAGGCAAAATCACCCCTGGTTGAAACGACTGTAACATAGTTGGCCTTTCCCTTTCCACCTTCCAGGTGTTTTGGGATGTCTTTGAAGAGAGCCAATGATTTTGACACAAAAGCTCTCCTTTGGTAGCTTACATAAGAATACTATGAACTAGGTAAATATACTTTCGCTTTACATGTTGCCAATGAGAAAGAGGACTCACAAACAAATTCTTCCTAAATGGGCCAAAGCACTGGCAATTAGGGTCAAGTGGCAACCTTGAGGTGCTGGCATAACTTTACAGCATCCCACGTTATATCAAGCCTATCACAGCAAAAAATGGGGATATTGGACTTCCATATCTTTTTAAAAGGAGCAACCAAGAAATCGCCTTTCCTTCTGTAGACTACTGAAGCTGGAAGTGATATTTATAATGTATTAAAAACTCCTCTCTCATGCGCTCAGCATGGACATCATTAGAAGAGAATAATGGACAAAGTCCTAGATTTGGCTCTGAGTTTTGTTCAAGAAGGAATTGAAAATGCTTGGATTTCTTTTCTAGTACAAATTTGGAATCTTATTATTTTGAAGGCTGTGGCTGATTGCCCTTCTCTCTGGGATAGATGGTGAAGAAATGTGTTTTTATACCACTTGCCTTTGTTTATCTTGAACCACAATTCTTAAAGGAAAAGAGCTGGAGTTGGAAGGGGTTAGGCTTTCCAGTGCTTCTGGTAAAATTCTTTGGGACTTTGCCCTCTTCTTCACACAAGAGAATTAGAATGTAATAAGAGGAAGCAGTAGAGCAGCAAGATGAGCTAAATGCTATAAATTTTAAAGATAAGTGTGTATTTTTGTTGGTTTAAGAGGAAATACTTTTAGTTTAAAATAGCTTTATAACTGACACATCAATGAGGTACTTTAAAAAAAGAGATGCCAGGAGTGGTATAGGCAATAAATCATGGACAAACCAGCCAATTACAGGACATGAGGCTCTCGGCCCCCTCCTCATCTACCCATTTCCCTGCTGACCTCCTCCTTTGTAATTTCTTTTCTCCTGAATTAAACAAGGCAACATTGATATGAAACAACATCAGGTTTTCTCCCCTCTCCCCAACTTTCCGACGCAGAATAGAGTTCTCTGTGAGGGTGGGAGCATCTTAAGTGGATGATAAATTTTAAACAACGTAAGACAATCCAAGACATTGTCTTCTATGTGACAGAATTTCAACTTATGTAAATTAATTGTTTTACCCGTTGTTCCCAAAACAATGGATCCACACACTGAAAACCACACTGGAATCCACATTCAAGGCCCTATGCTTTTTGCCTGCCATACACAAAGAATACTTCTATAGCATCTATTTTGCACCAGGTCTTGCTCAAATCACTTTCAAATATTAATTCATTTAATCCTCATAACATACCTGTGAGGTAGATACTATTATTATATCCATTTTTCCAGATGGAAAAAATCAAGAAACCTTGGGCAGCTTGCCCAAGGTCACAAGAACTACTAAGTGGCACAGCTGGGATTTGAACTCAGTCTGTCTCCCTCCAGAGTCTGGGCTGCTAACCACACTGGGTGAGGTTTATTGGGCAATTGCCCTGTGCCACACAGGCTTTAAAGAACAAAACTGAGCTCAAGTCTGCCTGATTTTCAAGGACATATCTCTAACCATTGTGCATATAGTCTGTTACACAGAATACACATTATTTTATCCTTGCTTTTTAATGAAGACAGAATTGTGATGTTATAGGAACCGAGGCCTCAATCTTTGTTTACTGTTTCTTCTCTGCTTTTTTATGTCAAGAGCTTTGGAGATTGATTCTGGGTACAAACAGCTGAAAAGTTTCAATGGGTAACTTCTTTCAAAGAGTATTTGCATCTTAAAAGCAAAAAGTAGCTTGAATCAAGGGGCAGAACTTCAGTGGAAACATTGTAAGCAATAGCCAACCTGGTGGAGCTGATACTTGATCTGATAGTTTATTCTAAGGACCTTCAGAAGGTGGGCAGTTGAAAGAAAACAGCAGTTCCAAAATAATTTCCATGGCTACATTTCTGAATAAATGAATGAAGAAATAGAATTTTCAAAAGTACTTGCTTTTTACCTAAAGTAATCATGGTTGTTTATCACAACACTAAGTTAATTGGTGGTCGAGATGTTCCACAGCTCTCTCAAGGAGGCAAAGACAGGGTTTGAGGGGGTGATAAGAGGGTGCAAATCTCATTCTTGCTGTTTAGGGATAAGGAAGTTAGGATCTGGGGCCTGAATCCTTTTCCCATTTGGCTACCCTCTGGAAAGGAGATACAATCAGGGGCCCAGGACAGAAAGAAATGGATGTGCCACAGCTCTTCTCCCATGGGAAGGCTCTGATTAGCAGACAGTGCTTTTTGGGATTTGCCGGAGAGGGAAATACAGGAGACAGGATCTTCAGGATGATTTGATTCTCTAAACAGCCTCCTGGATAATTGTTAGAGGCTGTCAGACTGGAGCTGGGTCTGTAATGACTTTTAGATTAGTTTGCAATCAGTCCCCCAAATGTTAGTCTCTAATTAAGTGCCCAGTGTGAAAGCTTGTCTATGGAAAATGCCTCAGGGAAACTGTTTCTGTGAGCTGCTCATTACTTATGTCTAGCAGAGAATGAAAGAGGCTGATTTGCCTCAAGGAACCCCTCCATTCAGACATCCACATACTAACAGTTTGCCTTTTCTGTCCCAGGGAAGAGAAGGTCAAAGGGGACTCCGAGGTGTCTCAGTAAGTAACCTTGACTTCCTGTTCTCTGTGGTTGATGGGACCAAGGAGGTTTCTCCCATGTAGGTGGTGCTGGGAATCATATCAATGAGCATTTTACAAGGGTATAGGAAGTGCCCAGTACTGGACGTGATCCCCACTGACCCAATAATCACTGCAGCTCCCGGGAACAGAACAGACCTAAGGAAAAGCCTCCCTGATAGATACCTGGCAGACAGGCAGAACCTGTGCAATTCCAAATATTGTGCATTTGACTGCTCTTCATGTGCTTTGGGAATCAACTTCAAGAGAGAGAAATTCCTTATTGGAGTAAGAAACAAGTTTATGTTCATTCCTTAGACAGTCTAGAACTGTAAAATCCTAGGCCAAGTAGAGGGTGAGCCACAAGTCAGACAAAATAGTACCTATTTCTGATGTAAATAGTATGAAAAGAAAATCTATATGGAAACAACGTGTAGAAATGCTTGACACTGGAAACTCTTGTTCATCAGGGAGAACCAGGAAATCCTGGACCTACAGGCACATTGGGAGCTGAAGGATTACAAGGCCCACAGGTGTGTTGGAATATTTTGTAAATATTGATAAATGCTGTAAAGTTATTCTGATGGGAAGAAGGCAGGTATTTCTGTATAAAAATAAATAACTGAGAATCTGCCCCCTGCCCTATTTTGCATTCCCTATCATGGGGTGGGGGGTGATTTCATTCCATCAAACTTGCTTCGTTGTTCGTAGGTCACTAATAAGCCTTTGTAGAGGAAAGATGTGCTCTTGTGCTCACCTGGTATTGTGTCTTCTTATTAGTAATAGTGAATGATTAATACCTTCATATTACATTAATAATTAACACCAGGATCAACAAATTGGTTTTCCATAGCTGGGGTCCTGCATACACAGGCTCCCACAAAGGAAAATTAGTTGAAAGTTGGAAACTGCTACTCGACTTGCTTAAAGCTAACTCTACAGGGGTATCAGTATTTCTGAAATATGACTGATAGGGCTTTCTGTGAGCCATTTGCATCTTTCATGGTCATATCATTAGTCATGTGAGCACCGGAAGTCAGAGCATCATTGTCTTACTTCCCTCTGTGACAGAAGGGGAAGCTGTGGTCATTCTGGAGAGTAGCTTCGTAGCACATGGTTGTTTAGTCATCTTATGAAGCCCACTTTACATGAAGCCCACCTTAAGCCTGGACTCGTATGGAAGGGCCTGTGTAGCTGTGCCTATTCTAAGGTCTTCCCAGGAATTCATTATTTTCTAGAAAATTCAGGTATTAGGACCAAACTGGAATTTGGGATTCTCTTGAGTGGTTCTGGGGTCCCTGAACCAAGCTATGAGCTAGCAGTTTCTCTAGATTGGGTAGGGATGGGACCAGCCTAGATCCATTCCCAGGCTTTGGGGTGGATGTGGGGGTGGCAATGACAGTTACTTCAGATACCTCAGACACCCGTGGGTCCCTTTGACACTGAGACAGTGAATCAAGGCTCACCTGATGGCTCCTGGGCAGCCCAGGGCCAGTTCACAGCTGGTACTTCAATAGGAAGAAACGTTACTGCCACCTCTAGTTTTTGCTTCTGTGTGAGATAACCGCATGAGAACCACGTGTTTGATGGCAAATATGGCAGAAAAATAGACTTTGATTCTTCTGATAGAGGTCTGCTGCTAAGACGCCCTTTTGTGCTAACTTGAAACAACTTTACTCTCTACTTTACACATTAATAAGGGCTTTGGCTCAGGTAACCCGTCCCTTTAAAGGAATTCATCTGACTGTTGTTTGTGTCTTACTTCCTTTGCTTATAGGTTTCATTTCCCGCTTTGGCCTATTTTTATTTCCTCTGTAGAAGAGGGATGAAGGTCTTATATCCAGGCCGGGAATTCCTTAAAGAGATCTGGACCACTGAGTCCACTGGGCCTGTCCTCAATGACTCTTAATACATGCTTAATCTCAGGGTTAAAAGGCTGTGGGAAGGGCTGGACCATTGCTTTTCTGCAGGGTGTTTCAAAAGAAACACTGAGAAGTAAGCTTTCATTGACATAATTGCATTGTATTTCCTTTGTTACCACTAAAGGGGTCACAGGGAAATCCTGGCAGAAAAGGAGAAAAAGGAAGCCAGGGGCAGAAAGGACCTCAGGTGAGTGACTCGGAGACATTAGGCTCAATGACTCTCAACAGTTATTTTCCTCTTAGTGCAAAAAAATCTTCACATATAATTTTTTGTATTATTTACATATATATTATTTCATTTTTGGATTATCTGGGGCAAAATTCTAGCGCAGCTCAGATTCCTCATACGTAGCTAAAGCACTCCTCTTTCTCCTTCACTGGGGTTTTACTCTGAAAGCACAGATCCATTTCATCAGCCTAAAGAAAGCATTTGGAAGAATATAAATATTGCCCAATCATAACATTTTCTCCAAAAACTGATACATTATTCTGATTTTTCTAACTTTTAAAAGTTATACATGCCATGCACCTATGTCTCCATTCACTATAGATATTTAAAATTGACTGTACAAAGATCCCTTGCTACTCAAACCTACTTGATTCCTATGTTCACCTCTTGAATTCCCCATCTGAACCTGTTTGTTTCCTGAGAAATAAGAGTTTGAATGGTGAAGGATGTGTAGGAAAAATGTTCTAAATCTATTCAGTTCTGCTCAGACGGTGAGAGTTCACAAGGCAAGGGATACCCATATTTCTATATTCCTAGCATGTGTGGTCAGTTATCTTTCTGATAATATGTGTGTGAAAGACACGTCTGCCCATTTTTTTATTGGGAAGCTGAAACATATCCTGCATGCCGTTATGTATGCACATATGGTACGGGCACAAAGGTGGCAAAGTGTCTTCTTCTAAAAAAATCAGTGCATTATGACAATTTTCCCACATTTGGGAATAGCATGTGTTGACTCAAGGGTGCCTTTTCTTTTTCTCACTAAGCCCCGTATGGACTAGTGATGTCCCTGCAGATTAAAACATGTGGTCCTCTAACTAGGACTGGAACCTGAGTCATCTGGTTCAGCTCTGCCATCTGCTTCTCTCCTCCTGGGTGGCTGGATCTTTTGTTAAGGCTGCATCAAGGAGTTGTTGGGAATAGCATGAAGGAAAGTGAAATGTTTCTAATGGGCTTTCTAAGAATTACTACGGTGCCAACATTTTAGTCTCTAATTTTTTTTTCAGGGTTCTCCTGGGCTAATGGGAGCTAAAGGGAGCACTGGAAGACCTGGACTTTTGGGGAAAAAAGTAGATATTATTTCTGTTTTTTAATTCTTTTAAAAACATATTTTATATTTAATGGATAATTAATAATTGCATATTTTTATGAGGTACAATGTGATATTTTCTTTTTTTAAATTCTACTTTAAGTTCTGGGATACATGTGCAGAACATGCAGGTTTGTTACATAGGGATACATGTGCCATGGTGGTTTGCTGCCCCCATCAACCCATCGTCTAGGTTTTAAGCCCCGCATGCATTAGGTATTTGTCCTAATGCTCTCCCTCTCCTTGGCCCCCACCCCCCGACAGACCCTAGTGTGTGATGTTCCCCTCTCTGTGTCTATGTGTTCTCATTGTTGAACTCCCACTTATGAGTGAGAACATGCAGTGTTTGGTTTTCTCTTCCTGTGTTAGTTTGCTGAGAATGATGGCTTCCAGCTTCATCCATGTTCCTGCAGAGGACATGAACTCCTTCTTGAAAAAAGTAAATGATATTTCTTATGGATTTCAAATACCAAAGTACCTCCATTTTCTTCCTGATTTTCATGTTAATTCCTCATGTGATTGAATCCAAGCACCATCAGCAAGTCACCAGCATTCCACTAATATGTACTCTTCCTTCCATTGAGCAAAGAGTTTCTAACTGCTGACCTCTCCATGAAACTGCCCCCTTTCCCTAGGAGAGAGTGATCTCACCCATCAGAAACAACTCTAAAAGATCTCTTTCACTCCCTGATTTCCTGAATCCAAGAATGCATGTGGTTGCTGAGTTGAGTGGAGGATGGGTGGCATCAGAACTCAAATCCGTTGGTGCATGTGGTTCTCGAACCACGACTATCTCTGAGATGGCTCTGTTGGGGATCGTCAGAGAGCAAATGATTAACCTCATCGGAATCTGACTCCCCTGTTTAAAACCTTTCAATGGCCCCCTCTCCAGGGTCCTGTGACCTGTGCAGCCACACAGGTGGCCTTGCTGAGAAGAACCCCCTGATGAGTTTAATGCTCTGCTGTCATGGTCCTGAATCTCATTTTTTAAGCAAGGGGCCTGAGTTTTCCTTTTACACTGAGCCCAGCAAATTGTATCACGGGTCTTGGCTTTCCCATGGCCTCCAGGAAATATTCAAACTTTAAGGTAGTTACAAGATAAATAAATTCTGGGGAGCTAATGTATAGCATGGTGACTGTGGTTAAAAATACAGTATTGTATACTCGAAATTTTGCTAAGAGAGTAGATCTTAAATGCTGTCAACATAAAGCAAAAATAAAAAAGGAAAAGTGGTAACAAGATAAGGCAATAGATACATTACCTAACTTAACTGTGGCAATCATTATACAACATATATGTATATCAAATCATGTTGTACACCTTAAACATATGCAATTATTTGTTAATAAGGTAGGGGGTCATTTACAAGGCCCTTTGCTATTTGCCCCATTTCATTCTAAGGTTTCACTGCTTACCTCCCTCCTGCGTGCCTGCCTCAGGCCTCTCACTAATGTCTTCCCTCTTCCTGGATCACTCTCACCCCTTTCTTGCCCAGTCCCCTGACATACAACTCATCCTTCAGTCCTCAGCTTCCCTGCTCCTTTCCTTTCGGCAGCCTCCTCAGGCTCACCAAATCTGACTTAGACTCCCCTTCTGTTTGCTTCCATAGCACCCTGAACCTTATCTCACAATATTATAATTGCCTGTCTAATAATTTCTTTTTCCAGCCAGGTGAGGACAGGACCTCCCCTAATGTGTTTATTTTGCAGTTCAATAAGTAATTGTTGGATAGGCAAATGCATCAGCAAATGAGTCAACTTTCCCTGGAGTCAATTTTCTACTTTTTGTCTTCTCCTTCAGTACTTTTATAACACTGGAAAAGCAGCACACCAGTCCAGCTCTGGGCTGTGCTAGACATCTTCTGCTAGCTATGAAAAAAACATAATTTGTGCCCTACACTCATCCCCTTAGTGAGCACTGACCCCTCACTGAGAACCTTGAGTCTCCTCATCGAGTGGACAGAACTTACCGTGGTAGGAACCAGGTTTGATTTTACTGATCTGAAGCTCTTCTTGTCCCACTTACTAGGGAGAGCCTGGACTTCCTGGAGATCTAGGGCCAGTGGGGCAAACTGGGCAGCGAGGAAGACAGGTATGAAGTTTTGAAGTCCCTACCCTCCCCAGATCTGGGTATTCAGTTCCAAGGTAAAGAGAAGGGGTTGACACCTTCAGCCCAATTATGGGGGGCATGAAAGGTATTTCAGCATCTAGGAAAATGTGAGAACATTTCTCCCACCCCCTAAAGCTCTCATTCCATAGATAGTCTGTCAACGTGAAGGAGAACAGCAAGCAGGAGAATGAGGGTAGGCAGAGAGGATAATGGATGAGTTAGAACAGGGCATTTCAATACCTTAACAACCAGCATGGCCACATAGATGCATATCCGTTGAAAAACAACACTGCCCATTTCTCCTCCTTTCTTGCAAAAGTCTAAGGTGACAATAAGAGATAGAGGAATAAGGCTAAGAAATGGGGCATCACATTTTTATGCCTGCACTCTGTCCTAATGGCTTTGGCTGTAACAAGATCTCAGCTCATGGAGCAGCCAGTATAGGAACAATTATTTCATTTTTAAAAAATTAATGTTTATTACAAACGTTATACATAGATATCATAGAAAATTTACCAAGCACAAACATTTTTCACAATAGCCAAGAAAATATGGGATCAACCTAAGTATCCATCAATGGATGAATGGATAAAGAAAATGTAGTATGTATGCATAATGGAATACTATTCAGCCTTTAAAAAGAAGAAAATCTGGTCATTTGTGACAACATGGATGGATCCAGAGAACATTATGTGAAGTGAAATAAACCAGGCATGGAAAGTTAAATACAACAAGATCTCACTTATAGGTGAAATGTAAAAGAAAGTCAAAATCATAGAAACAGAGAATTAAAATGGTAGTTGCCAGAGGTGGTAACTAGGGAGATGTTGGTCAAAGTATACAAAATTTCAATTAGAAAGAAGTAATAAGTTCAAGAGATCTATTGTATATCATGGTGACTACAGTTAATAACAATATATCGTATATTTGAAAATTGCAACAACAAAAAAAGAAAAAAATAGTAAATAAACATAAGGAGCCAGAGGCTTACAGGGGAAAAAATGATTAGGGCACAGCAAGTTTCTGACTTATGGCTACACCCACAATCCATTGCCTCCATAAAGGCTTTCAGTCTTCCTTCATTGCATTTTCTATCCATAAAATTAAATGGTTGTAGAATGGTCCAGCAAGTCTTAAAAAGTATCTTTTTATGTGATCTAATTTGAAAACATGAATCTAAAAGGAAAGGAAGAAAGAAGGAAGGAAGAGAGGAAAGAAGGAGGAGAGGGGAAGAGAGAGAAGGAAAGAAAATTTACCCAGAATAAAACATAGGAAAGAGGGAAGAAAAGGAAAATTACTTATAATCCACCATTTTGAGATATTTATCATTATCATCCTGGAAATTTTTTAAAAATCACTCTAAACAATGTATCGTGAGCATATTTTCATGTCATTACATTTTTCCTCAACATCATTTTTAGTAGCTTCAAAATATTCTACTAAATGCATATAACATTCATTTATGTGACCGATATCTTGTTACTGGTTATTTAGCTTGCTTTCAGTTTTTCACTGTGGTAAACAACACAGCAATGAACATTCATGTACCTAACTAAAATTTTGGACAAAACCATAATGAATTTCTACATAGAGATTTCTAAAGTAGCATAGCTGGATCGAAGAATATGTACATGTTTCATAAAGGCTTTGAACTCCATTATGAAGTGCCCTTAGGAAAATTCAAACAGTATGTGGATCCACCTGTTATTCAGGAGAGTGTTTGTTTTAGGGCATCCACAACAACAGGTATTGTCACTTTTTTCCATCTTTACCATTGACAAAGATAGTATCTCATTGCAGGGTCAAATTTGCATTTTTTTGTTACCAGGGAGGACGAACATTTTTTTCTGTATGTCTATTGACTATTTGTAATCCTTCTTCAGAGAGTTTCTCACCTGTGTTGTTTGGACCAGCTCCTAATTTTCTAGGGAAGAAACTGCCACTGACTCCACAAGTCCTGAATGACCACCCCTCTGTTTCCTGCAATGTTTACAGAATGGAGCTGGTCAAAGAAGTACAGGGAACATATCAGGGAGTGAGGAAAACACAGCAACACAATGTTCCCAGGGTTCAAGGTCACCAATTAGGCCCCTTCTGCATGGAAGTCCCTAGTGCTTCTCTTCTGACACTGTAATCTCCCCAGTATAGATTAAAATTAATTTCCACCTTTGAGAAATTGAAAAAAACTGGTGTGTTTACACAGGGAGATTCTGGCATCCCAGGCTACGGTCAGATGGGACGAAAAGGAGTAAAGGTAAATATGGAAATCAATTATTTTTATTCATTGATGAATCAAACTAAATAATACAAGAAGAAATGTTCATACTGCAGAAGTGATATGTTGATGTATTTATGTTCTGTGCTGAAAATTATAGGGCCCAAGAGGATTCCCTGGAGATGCGGGGCAGAAGGTATTGTATGCATGACCTTTTGAAATTACCATGATCTTAACCTTCTACTTGAGAACTGAGATAAACCTGTAGGTCTGAATGAAATGGGGACAATAAGGAGAAACCAAGGACAGTTGTTTTCCTTGGGCTTCCTGAGGAAAGAATCATATTTAACCCCTGTGAATCTTTACATTGGAAAAGATTGTTCTGTCCATCATTGCCTGATGCCTCTGCCTTGAAAGCCTACCTCCAGGTATCCTCTCAAGTTCAGTCTTCTGTTCTCTTCTTGATTTTCTGCCTTGGTGATTTCATTCAATACTCTTGGCTTTGGTTATTGCTATTTGTTCTTCATTATTGTGCCCTTTATTTTCTCTCACCTGAAAGATTACAATATCCTTCTAATTGGGTTCCTCCTTCCATCTTTTCCCTGATTCAGTTAATTCCAAACACTACTGTCACTTGATTTTTTTCCAAAGCATAGCTAAATTATGCCACTTTCCTACTCAAACATCTTCAAGAATTCCTCATTGCCTGCCAGATAGAAATCCATCTTCATGCTGTAGGAACAGACATACCTTTCATCTCAACCCAAGTAGCTTAAGTTATGTCTGTTTTATACATTGGAATTCTGTAAAAAGATCTCCCTTAGAAAAAAAAGTCCAGAACAATGTCTTCTACATAAGTGATGCTTATATTAAAATACAAAATATGGGTTAAAAAGTAGAATATCTAATTAATCAAATAAAGTATAGGAAAACTGTCAACTGCTGAATCCTCTTAAAACTATTTTTAATGAATGAATTACCAAAAGAGATTCTTAAGTACAAAAGGGTGCAAAAGGGACAATATAAATCACCATTAGAAAGAAAGTCCTCATTGTAGAGGATCAATTTTCCAATTTACTGATAAAGGGAGAAAATTAGCATAATTCAACTTACTGATAAATGTGAAATAAGCATGTCGATAAATAACTGTCAAAATTTTAAAAAATCAGAATAGATTATTTTCACCTCAACTTTTTTCATAAATGTTTTATGAATTTATAAAGTAATTCATTATTTATTTCATATAGTCAATACTCCAAATGTTTTTCTGGGTTTTCAAGCATTTTCTTTGGATATTCGTAGTAACTGGATGACCACTGAATTGAAATGTATATGTAAATATTTATATTATTAAAAAATTAAAAATAGTTTGAAGAATAAGTGTACCAATGACTTAGTTCCAAATGACAGGAAAAGATGACATTTAATGTTGTATTGGCCTTCATTAATGTATGATTGTCATAATATCAATCAAGTTTGAGTCCAGAGAGTTTTTTTTTTAATTCTTTCATAGCAAATACTTTAACATCTTGACTTTTTATATCTGAATCTTCAGGGTGATATTGGTAATCCTGGAATTCCTGGGGGACCTGGACCCAAAGGATTTAGGGGACTAGCAGTAAGTAGCCTATAATTCCAGAAATGATAAATATTCCTTTGGCAGACTTTGGCTTTTATGTTATAATAATAAATGTGGATTATTGATTCAACCCAAGGGCATCTGAAATGCCACTTGCTAGCTGTGACCTTCAACACATCTTTTCAGGGTCTCTATTTCAGTAACATAAGAATTGAACTTAGTGACATCTAAGGTCACATTCAGCTCTAAAAGTTTATGGTTCAATGAATCAGTACTATTTTAAAGATTTACAAATTGATAACTTGCTGTTCCAAGAAATGTCAGTGCCTTCCAGTCTTTTCTAAGGCGCGTATTAAATCTTGGCATATTAACCCTGTGAGTGGAAATGAAGGTGACAGTGGGAAGATGTCCTTCCCACTGTGTCCCTGAAGGTTTCTGACAATTCCACTATCCATCACAAGGTCATGTAGGCTATTTTGAGGGAGGCTATTGAGATCTTCTAATTAGCAAAGTGCAAAATCGAATATTATGCTTACTTACTTAGAAGCAAAATGCTGAGACAAGCATCCTTTCATTTTAAAGTTTGAGTGCCATATCAGTGGTCACCATCAGTGTGAAAAAAGATGCAACTTAATGGATACTTTCCATCTGGCTGGATAAATTTCATTAGTATCCGTATCCATCACTTTGGGGTATGAGAATGACATAGCCCACTCATGTCCTCTTATGAGTGTAGGGAATCATTTTTCTTATTTGATCTTTTACAGATGGGAGGTTTCTCATTAGATGTCTGTGTACCCTCATATATTTGCTCTTCCAATTAGCACCAATCCCAATTTATGGCTAATTAAGATTGAAATGCACGGCCAGTGCCAGAACAAAGTATGTCACAAAGAGGCTAGGAGGGAAATGGATGTTTAGCTGTCATTAAGAATATATTGTTTGTATCACAAGTAAGCAATTTACCTGACTTCAATTAATAGCTGCTATCTTTTTAAAATTTTTTTTAAAATTAGAAAGTCTTATCGAAACTGAAGTAGTCCCCATAGATAGACAGTGTTGAAACTAATGTATTAATATATTCCTATCTGCAGCTCACTGTAGGCTTGAAAGGTGAAGAGGGATCTCGAGGACTCCCAGGCCCTCCTGGACAGAGAGTAAGTGTATCCATAAGAACTAAATAGGATATAGTAGTTTCCAGTATGTTCCATGGAAAGGGCACAGAATTTAAAGTCAAATGCACTGGATTTAAGTCCAGATTCTGCTTTTTACTAGCTATATGACCCAGTCACTGGGTCTTTGAGTTTATTTCTAAAATGAGTGGATGACATATTCTGTCCTAACTACCTCAAAAGGTAGCTGTGAGGATCAGATAATCAAATGTGAATACTCTTTGTAAACTGTAAGGTTTACAAATAATAATATTGCATTGCAAAATAATTAATAGTAAATAAAATATATAAAGTACAATGCAAATAGTTAATATTGGTTAACTCCAGTGTTAACTCCAGGTTGATGGAGTTTACCAAAACCACTATTGTTGCCTTCCTATCCTCAAAATTTAGACTTCAGAGAGATTTGGAAATATAGGCGCAACTTCCCCTATGATTCTATTACAAGAAAAATGGCACCTCTGGAGGCGTTCTCAGGCAGAGTCAGGCATATCTCCCACTGACGAAATAGCCATCTCTCTATTTTAGTGCCTCCCAGGTTGTTGTAATGATTTAGTTACATGTCTGTCTCTCCTAACAAGCACAGTCAGGTGAGAATTAAATATTGCGAGCACCTGTGTTTTGTGGTGGAGACCCAGGCAGCATTGTGTAAGGAGTGGATAAGCTGCTTATCTTGTTTTGTGCATTGTGAGTATTTTCTGATTACTTGAAGAGGTTCTTGAACTTGGGACTTTATTATGAAAGCAAAAAACGTGAATGGTTTTGTGGAAAACTGAATCCATATTAGAATGACAATCAGCTAACTGTAAGGATACTCTGATACAATATTTACTTTTTTGGCATTAAGGAATGTGTGAATATTCCTAGTTATGCGAGTGAGAATGTAGTCTCTGGGCCAATCTGGTCTGTTCTGGATTTATCTCCTCAGATTCTGGGGCTCTCATCTGGGGACACCCACATCTTCCTGGTCTTGTGCTTGGCCAAGCTAGTCTGGACTGGAATTTGGCTTCTTTGTCTCAAGCTCTTGATCCTCAGCCTCTGCTTAAGAACTTGTTCAAAGTTATTTAAGGGCTCGCTCTTTCAGGACATCCTCTCCATGGTTCTGATTCTCTGTAAAATGTGGACTGTCTACTCTGTGTATTAGCCAGAAACTGTTTATCTCTCTGTTTAAATGGTCATGCATTCTTTTCTGTTATCTGCCATAACTTGTAAAAGGAAGAATGACACTACATGTTTTCGTGGATGCATAATTTCCTGATTCGAATTAGAAGGTTAATGTGTCCCAATGGGTACGACTGGGGATGCCACAACAGTTCGGATTAACTCCAGCAATCCACAATAGGCCACATAGACATTCAGCAGACCTTTAACTGTTTATTGGATGGATGGACCAATGAAGAAGTAACCCAGTTGTCATTTAGAACAGAGGTTCTTATGCCGACATCCCTGGTTGAACCTCTGAGGGAGTCAATGAAATTGTACAAGTGTAAGCATGAAATCACATTTTTTTTGAAGTGAGCATACAGGCATTCATTAGTTGCCCAAGGGAACCTATATTTGCAAATATATTAAGAATCACAGCCAAGGAGAAGCCTGATCCTAATTAATGGAAGTAAGAAGGAGCAAAGAGAAAAGCTCAAGCTGCTGAGAAAGAAGGACTGATTTCTTTCAGGAAGTCTTCCCTGATTCAACTCACCAAAGTATTTGTTTTGCTTTGCTCCATAATCTCTTGGCATTTATGAGCTTGTTGTAATGATTTAGTTACACTTCTGTAACTCTTCTTTTGTGTAATGTTTATTTTTCTGTGTAATTGTCTTTGGGCCTTTCTCATATGTAGAGGCTGTTTCTTATTTCCTGTGCTTTACACTCTTGATGCGTAATATAACTGTTCCTCTGAATTCCCAATAAATTACTCTCCTTGGCACTGCCCTTTGAAAAGTCTGCTGTTTATAATTTTAAGCATTCTTATGAGAAATACCTTCCTCTAAGTATTACATCTTTAGTAAAAGTATCTTTAAGAAATACCTTTGTTTCTTCTTATCACTGAAGAAAAATAATTTTGTTAACTTTGGTAAACATTAGCTTACCTGATCTAACACTGAAAGAAAAAATCTACACCCTTGATGTGAGTAGGGAAAATATATGGCAATTAATCCACTGGGTTCAGGAATATTTTAACTACTCTCTACCAGCTGTGCTTTTAAGAAAGAAAGTTTTTTGTTTTGTCTTGTTTTATTACTAAAGACTAAAGACTTCAGTTGGCATACCACTAACTTGCTCTGTTTTTGTTTTTCCTAGGGCATTAAAGGCATGGCAGGGCAGCCTGTATATTCTGTATGTATCTCCTTATTCATGAAAGAAAACTCAATAAGTTCACTGGGAAATAAACACAGTTACTCAAAAGTCACTGTACTTGCATTTCTTTTCTCTCTCCTTTTTCAACATTTACAGCAATGTGATCTGATCCGGTTTTTGCGGGAACATAGTCGTGAGTATCTGTTACGGAACAAGAGCATCCATCAATGGTTGGTGAGGCACTTAGGACTGTATGCAGTGTGGGTATGTGAGATCAGTAGGATGAGTTCACTGGTGGGAAGCCTCTGTAACAAGCTTGTCTGGAGTGCCTACTGTAGAATATTGCACATTAAAGGAGAGAGGAAAGGGGGTATAAGTAAAAGTGCCTTCGCTCATGAGGGGCAATGCAGACATCAAGAGAAAACATGCATATAGGAAAATTAGAGAAAAACCCAAAAGATGAGTGAATTAACTCACATTAGTATAACAGTTATGAGCGAAAGGACTGGGAGGGCATGTTGTTAAAGGGATGATCATGGGGGTTTGGGACTAGTCGGTTACTCAGTTAATAAAGGATGTTTGCATGGGGGTAACTGAATCCAGCTATGGGAAAGTGATGGGGGTGGCAAAAAATAGTTTCAGAAAAGGAATAAAGCAGGAGTCAACATAAAGAGGTTGTCTTTGGTTATAAAGAAGGAAAAATAAGGTAGAAAAGCCCAGTAATATAATTTCTGAAAATTTGTCCCAAGGAAATACAGCAAAAGAAAGAAAAAATATAGGTAAATATATGATTGTTGGAATATTATTTGCTAAAGCAAAATGATTATACATTTAGACTGTTTACACTTATAGAATAATTAGGTTATAATATATCATCTTCTGAGAAAATATTAACCAAATATAGTTTTTATGAAGACAATCAAACTTTGAAAAATACAGGCATTAAATATTATAAAATGAAATTGAATCCTCATTATTTTTGCAGGTAGGTAAATACATACATAGAAACAAGTACTAGAAGCAAAAGTAGAAAAACAATGATTTACTGTGTTCAAGGAGGTGGAATTTTAGGAGATCTGTGTTTCTTCATTATGTTTCCATTGTGGTTTTTAAATAATCATAATCAGAAGAATGTAAAAGGGGAAAATCAGAAACTTTACTGAAGGAGACTAGATAAAAATGTTGTCATTGCAAGTATGTGGCAAGGAAAGAACAGCAAAAAAGCAAGTTTAGAATAACCGTCAGGCTAGCAGGGGAGAGGCTGAGTGTCACCAAGGATGAGTAAGCAGAGGAGGAATTGTGAAGGGAAATCAATTGGTTGGAGAAGATGATTAGTTTACATATTTTAGGGGTAGAGGAATCTTGTGTAGACCCTACATGAAACGATCGACCCCAGTGAAATGGGGCTTTAGTAAAGGTGAGGGAAGGAGACTCAGATGTTGAAGTCATTCAGTGCTGGTGGTCCTTCAAAACACATGGATGCATGAGGTTTCTCCAAATGTAAAATTAGAGAGTCAGAAACAGAATCTCAAGGAGTTTCTGTTTCTTGGCAAAAAGAGTGGGGCCAAGGTACAGAAAAATGGCATTACAGAGATGGGAGAGTCCTGCCAAATGTGGGCAGCTTGCAAGGAGGCAAGAGGAAGGAGGCAATGGAGAGGAGGTTCAAAGGGAGGAGATAGTGGGAAAGGCCCTTCAGCACACGAGGAGATGAGAACTAGGGACTGGGACCACAGGGAGAGAAAAAGGGAAGAACCATTGTAGGAGAAATGAATGTGGGATCAACTTTCCTCATGTTGCCAGTCTTCTCAGTGAAATCAAATTATGTCTTCCCAAAGAAGACCAAAGGTAGGTGGAAGGGGCTGGGGAGGTGAGGACCAGCATTGGAGGGTTTGGGATTTGAAGGGAGAAGTTTTCCAACATAGAATAAAAGGAATTAGCCCATAAATCAGGAGGTCAGAGAAGAGTAGGCAAGTTCTATAACCACACAGGGCACTGATTGGATAACACGGAACTCCAGGATGCAGACTGGAGATTAAGATGCAGGCAACAGGCCGTTAGAGCTGATCTAAATGGCCTCACTTAATAGCTGACATTTCCAAGGCTTCTCATCTAACATCATTTGCTCCTCAGTCCAGTAGCAGCTCTGTGACATACAGGGATGAGGGCCAGGCTGAGACTGTCTTTGGAAAATAAAAGAAGGTGTCTAGAAGGCTGGGGGAAATTAAGAGAGAAAGGGGGTGGTTGAGAATAAAACAGAAGGGCCCAAGTGATTAGCATTTTGGAGGGAGACACATAAGTAAAGATTTTTAGGAAAAATCAACTTTAAAGAAATTGTTCAAAAGAGTTTAAGTAATTTCCCCCTAAGTCACCCAGCTTTTCCAGACTCAAACCCAGCGGGGTTTCTGCTTCTACGACCTGTGCTTGTAGCCTTGCAGCTATGTTTGAAGTTAACACGTGGAAGTACTCAGTCAGGAAAAAGGGGTCTGTTTTGAGCCTACAGATGCAAAGGAGGCTGTGGGTTATGTGTGCTGTCTGATGGCAGTTAGCATCCCAGGGGCCATGGGGTTAAGACAAACAAGAGGTGTTCACAAGGGTGGATGGCAGAGGACCACTGTTGCACGACAGCAAGACAGAAGGCTGGTGCGTTGCCAGTATTAATAATATCTTTTATTATATTGGAGTGACTCATTTGCTTCCTAGGAATCGAGTGAAATGAACATGGAAATTGTCAGGCCTGTGGTTTCTTAAAGATGTATCAATACTTTCCCGGATTCCTCTCAGTTGAGGGAACCAGATGCTGTTTTGCTCAGGAGAAACGCTTGGGGTTTTTTCTTCCTCCCTCTGGATGTGGAGATCACTCAAACAGAGGAGCTGTTTTTTATCAAAGACAAAATTCACTTGGAAATCCCCCTATGGTTGTATGGGAAAATAAAGGCTCCCAAGATATTCATCAGGGAAGAAAATAAGACCCCGTATTTTAGCCTTGCATTGCTGAATGACTCTCAGAAGGCTATAAGATGAGGCAAAACAAATTGAATTTCAGCTATCTTGCTGTTTAATCAGAGGCTCATCTGTTTTTGCTTCTAAGACAAGTGATCAGTGTTTCAGTTTCAACCAAAATTCTGCTAAAGTCTGCTGGCTGTGGCTCACAAATGGAAAAGGTTAGGAAGGCTAACAAATTAATAAAATTCTGTTGACATCTTCCTCAATACTTTAACCTTGGCTTCCTGTCACTTAGGAATTAGCCTCATTTGCAGTTAGACTCAAATAACATTTTCAGCTTTGTTAAAATGTTGTTTTTTGAACTATTTTTAGTCTTGTTTCAAGAAGGTAACAAACTTTTCCCTCTCTCCTTTTCACAGCTTGCTGGAAAGGTGAGTATTCTTACCATGCTGTTCCCTGCTGAGATCATTACTGCTGCATTCCAACAAGACCAATCTGAAAGATGCCCTCAACTCCGTGGGAAACAGGACTTCTTCCTTCTATGCAGACAGTTCTTTCTTTTGATTATGACTGTAATTGTCAGTGTCATGATTGACCTGTTTATGAAATGGTGACTGAATCCCAGCCCCTAGCCTGGGACCCATCACAGTTTACAAGTCAGTTTCTCCCCAGTGCTGGCCCTGTGCTGCTGGGGGATTCAGTAAACATGGCTCTCTGACTAATCCACGTTCTGTTGCTCTGTCTGCTGCTGACGCCCTTGACACTGGCTTCTTGGGTGTGAGATGTGCCCTTTCCTCCCTCTGGCCCACACTCAAACCTGTCATCTCACTGAGTGCCCACTACTTGTAAACCTTTCCTGCCCATGGCTGTGGATGGTCTTCCCAGGGCCTAACCTGTAGTCGGGGCTGCATGGCACCTTAGAGCCCTTGGGTGGCAAGGCCATTGGAGCCAGTGGCTATGTCAATTTCAAAACCTCCTGGTCTCCTAGAGGCCTGCTGATGTAGACCCTCAGGGTCTTTAAGCTCGGTGCAAGTTTGGAGCCATTCACCTTAATTCTGCAAAAATATACCTTGCAAAGAGTAAGTGCTCAATACAACTTCATGGATTTGGATTAAATATATCTTTCATTTTTCTTATTCTATTGTTTATTATCAGCTTTCATATTTTAAAATTACTGAAATTTCTTCATGGTAAAATTCTTTGATTCAAAACACTTCTCTAAATGAATACTTCTCTATTTTTATTTCTAAGAACAGTGGTTGGGATATGGGATATTTTGAGTGTAATATGCTTTGGGAGTTAGCCAGATTGGGGATAGAGAACAGCCTGAGCAGATGGAAGTGCTTATTAAAAGAAAAATCATTTTTCTCTTCCTGTGTTCAGACTTTAACAAGGACATTGAAAAGTGAGGTTTGATACATAGGGTAGATTTTCTATGAAATTCTAAAGTTCAGTCATCATAAGACATGAGTATTGAGCTAGGAATGGCAGATAGTCCCATTTTTATAAGAGCTTATTGCAAACTTTTCTTGGTTCCCGTTGCTTCCTTCCTCTTGCCACCCTGGCCTTCACTGAAAGCCAGCTTTCCTGAAGCCCCTGAGATAGCCCCTTTTTGGAAACAGCCTCTTTATCCTCTGAATCCTCATTAAGAATAATCTTTACTCTGTACCTTATAGTATAATGATCCTTGCCAATACAAGTTCCTCGAAGGCAGTGCTGCACTTGATTCATCTTTGCATGCATTTCACAGTGAATGTTATGCTGCATTTCATGTGGTAGGTACTCAAATATTTGTTGCATAAGTGGATGGAAATCTTACATCTATCTTTATAATTAATAGATCATTTCAGAAGATTTTGGGGGAGAGCAGATTTTCAAGATCTCCAATAAGCTATAATTTATTTTTATTCATTTTTAAATTTTACACACAGTAAAATTTATTTCTCTTTGTATGTGTTCAGTTTTACCAAATGTGTAGATTCATGTAACCACTATCCCAGTCAGGACACAGAAGAGTTCCATCAGCTCAAGAACTCCCACCAATTTCATTTTACACAGCTGACTGATTGATAGTGGGCTGTGAAGTCTGAGCATTATATAGCCAAATATTCATGCTCTGCATTTATGTTAACAGCTTCAAGTTTGCAGGCCAGATTTCTTTCCTTTCTTTGCACATGGGTACCTTTAGTTCTAGAGCTGGATGAAGCACTTGCTTTGCCTCTGTATGAACCCACTTCATTGGAGTAAAGAGTTGGGGAAAGGATTTTGATCCAGTGAAATAACTTAATACTTCTGCTTTTCTTTTTTCTAGAAAAATGTCCAGCATATCCAACAGAGCTAGTATTTGCTCTGGACAATTCCTACGATGTCACAGAAGAGAGCTTTAATAAAACACGGGACATCATCACTTCCATTGTCAATGACCTTAACATCAGGGAAAATAACTGTCCTGTGGGAGCAAGAGTTGCCATGGTTTCCTATAACTCAGGCACCAGCTATCTCATCCGCTGGTCTGACTACAATAGGAAGAAGCAGCTCCTCCAGCAGCTTTCCCAAATAAAATATCAAGACACCACAGAGCCCCGAGATGTTGGTAATGCAATGAGGTTTGTGACCCGCAACGTGTTCAAGCGGACGTATGCAGGAGCCAACGTGAGGAGAGTTGCTGTGTTTTTTAGCAATGGTCAAACAGCCAGTAGGTCATCCATCATCACGGCCACCATGGAGTTTAGTGCCCTGGATATCAGTCCAACAGTCTTTGCTTTTGATGAGAGAGTTTTCCTTGAAGCTTTTGGGGTAAGAATTTCTCTTGGCAACTTCTTTAATTTTAAGATAGAGGTAGGTATTGTGATAGGGCAGGATGGGAGTGGTAGAGAGTCAAGAAATATATGTGGCCTCTTGAAAACTCCTTTACAGTTTTCACAGCTATATTGTTGTCAATGTCTGTGAAATCCAATCCTGAATAATAACAACAGTCAATGATAACAGCAACCACATTTGCTCAGCTCGTGCTGTATGCCAGGCACTGTCCCTAGAGCTTTCCATATGTATTCATACATTCTCACAGCCCTCGGAGGTCAATGCAGCTGTTGTCTCCATGTTAAAAATGAGGAAACTGGGGCTGGGCGCGGTGGCTCATGCCTGTAATCCCAGAACTTCGGGAGGCCAAGGCGGGCGAATCATGAGGTCAGGAGATCGAGACCATCCTGGCCAACATGGTGAAACTTCATCTCTACTAAAAATACAAAAATTAGCTGCATGGTGGCGCGTGCCTGTAATCCCAGCTACTCAGGAGGCTGAGACAGGAGGCTCACTTGAACCAGGGAGTTGGAGGTTGTGGTGAGCCGAAATGGCGCCACTACACTCCAGCCTGGCAACAGAGAAAGACTCTGTCAAAAAAAAAAAAAAAAGGAAACTGAGGCCCAGAGGATTTCTAGTGACTTAACTATATACCACTACTAAGTGGCTAAATTGAGATTCGAACTTAGGTCTATGTGATAGAAAGGACCATGAACATGCTGCCCTGCCAGCCCTCTACTGCTCTGGTGTTTCTCAAATTTGTTATCTGCTTGCTGTTGCTCACAGAACAGCTGGCCTTAACCAGTGATGGAAGAAGTTCAGGGGATCTTTGAACCCCTATGGTGGTGCAAAACATTTGATGTATATGAACATTTTTCCCAAAAGAGGTCCTGTCACTTTTGGATCCACAGATTCTCAAGGGATCAGTGCTCCCCTTCCCTTCCTCCTAAGAAACTTAAAAACCTCTTCATCTGTTCAACAACTTTTCAGTATATTCAGATTATCCATAAAATACATTCTTCTGGAGCTGTGTAAAGCCATCATGTCCTTCAAGAGATTATAAAGGTCTATTTTTATAAAAAATGTACAATTTCTACCATATAAAGAGAAAGAATCTCTCTATAACATGGAGAGAATCAATCTGTTCCTAACACATCCAAGCGTTTTTTGGAAATAGGAGCCACAGAGAGTTACAACAGATCCTGACAAAAAGGATTGCAGGAAGTCAAAGTCCTGTGGTTTTCAGTTTTTCTTTTTGAAATTTTTCTGCCTCCTTAATTTTTCTCTCTGGGGAAAATAAGTGACTTTCAGCTTTGAGAGTTGCATAAAATTCCAGAATACAAGAAATCTTAATAAGACATCAAATTTAATCCTTATCTTCAGATAGGACTGCACCAAAGCCCTCAGAATCCCCAATGAGAAAGAGTCTCCAGTCATTCTTGTTAACAAATCATTTTAAATTTGCATCATATCTACAGAGAAGGTGACCCAGGAAGCTATCTGGTTCTCATCACTCTGCTCTTGCCAGATAATAACCCCACACAGTCATTCTGACTGCATATCACGCCTTGAGCAGTGCTCCCTTTAGTCATTCTTTATTCTTCCCTGCCTTGCACTCTTCTCCACTCAGGACATCCTCCTCTCTGTCCCCCTCTCTCAATTCCCTCCTTCCAATCCTCTTCATCAAGTCCTCACTGCTTCAAATCTGAAGGCATAGAGCTGCTACCCTTGGTGTCTGAGAGTGTCTGTTTCCCCTCATACTTACCCACACTGGATTTTACCTATTGAGCTTTTTAAATGTTTGCCGATTGGGTAGGTAAATAAGAGTTTCTTGTTGTTTTGATTATATTCCTGTGTGAGGTTAAACATTTTTTCATATGTTTATTGCCCATTTTTATTTTTCTGTGAAACTCACCTCACATCCCTTGTATCCCTTGTTTTTGGCATTATTATTTCTTTTGGCAAGTCTGCTCTAAAATAGTTTGCCTTACCTTTTTTTTTATTTCTTCTAAAAAAAAAAACAAAAACAAAAAAAACAGGATACATGTGCAGAACATGCCGGTTTGTTACATAGGTATACATGTGCCATGGTGGTTTGCTGCACATATTGACCCATCTTCTAAGTTTCCTCGCCTCAACCCCCACCCCTCGACAGGCCCTGGTGTGTGTTGTTCCCTCTCAGTGTCCATGTGATCTCAACATTCAACTCCCAATTATGAGTGAGAACACGCGGTGTTTGGTTTTCTGTTCCTGTGTTAGTTTGCTGGGGATGATGGCTTCCAGCTTCATCCATGTCCCTGCAAAGGACATGGTCTCATTCCTTTTTATGGCTGCATAGTATTCCATGTGTATATGTACCACATTTTCTTTATCCAGTCTATCATTGATGGGCATTTGGGTTGGTTCCATGTCTTTGCTATTGTAAATAGTGCTGCAATAAACATATGTGTGCATGACTCTTTCTAGTTAAATGATTTATATGCCTTTGGATATACACCCAGTAATGGGGTTTCTGGGTCAAATAGTATTTCTGATTCTAGATCCTTGAGGAATCGTCATGCTGTCTTTCACAATGGTTGAATTAATTTACATTCCTACCAACAGTGTAAAAGCATTCCTATTTATCCACAGCCTTGCCAGCATCTATTGTTCCCTGACTTTTTAATAATCGCCATTCTGACTGGCATGAGATGGTATCTCATTGTGGTTTTGATTTGCATTTCTCTAATGATCAGTGATGTTGAGCTTCTTTTCATATGTTTCTTAGCCACATAAATGTCTTCTTTTGAGAAGTGTCTCTTCATATCCTTTGCTCATTTTTTGATGGGGTTTTTTGGGTTTTTTTCTTGCAAATATGTTTAAGCTCCTTGTAAATTCTGGATATTAGACCTTTGTCAGATGGGTAGATTGCAAAAATTTTCTCCATTTCTGTAGGTTGCCTGTTCACTCTGATGATAGTTTCTTTTGCTGTGCAGATGCTGTTTAGTTTAATTAGATTCCATTTGTCAATTTTGGCTTTCGTTGCAACTGCTTTTGGTGTTTTAGTCATGAAGTCTTTGCCCATGCCTATGTCCTGAATGGTATTGCATAGGTTTTCTTCTAGGGTTTTTATGGTTTTGGGTTTTACGTTTAAGTCTTTAATCCATCTTGAGTTGATTTTTGTATAAGGTGTAATGAAGGGGTCCAGTTTCAGTTTTCTGCATATGGCGAGCCAGTTTTCCCAGCACCATTTACTGAATAGGAGATCCTTTCCCCATTGCTTGTTTTTGTTAGGTTTGTCGAAGATCAGATTGTTCTAGATGTGTGGTGTCACTTCTGAGGTCTCTATTCTGCTCCATTGAGCTATATGTCTGTTTTGGTACCAGTACCAAGCTGTTTCAGTTACTGTATCCTTGTAGTATAGTTTGAAGTCAGGTATCATGATGCCTCCAGCTTTGTTCTTTTTGCTTAGGATTGTCTTGGCTATATGGGGTCTTCTTTGATTCCATATGAAATTCAAAATAGCTTTTTCTAATTCTGTGAAGAATGTCAATGGTAGTTTAATGGGAATAGCATTGAATCTATAAATAACTTTGGGCAGTATGACCATTTTCATAATATTGATTCTTGCTATCCAAGAGGATGGAATGTTTTCCATCTGTGTCCTCTCTTAATTCCTTGAGCAGTGGTTTGTAGTTCTCCTTGAAGATGTCCTTCACATCCCTTGTTAGCTGTATTGCTAAGTATTGTATTCTCTTTGTGGTGATTGTAAATGGGAGTTCACTCATGATTTGGCTCTCTGCTTGCCTATTGTTGGTGTAAAGGGATTCTTGTGATTTTTGCACATCGATTTTGTATCCTGAGATTTTGCTGAAGTTGCTTATCAGTTCAAGAAGTTTATGGGCTGAGATGATGGGGTTTTCTAAATATACAATGATGTTGTCTGCAAACAGACAACTTGACTTCCTCTCTTCCTATTCGAATATCCTTTATTTCTTTCTCTTGCCTGATTGACCTGGCCAGAACTTCCTATAATATGTTGAACAGGAGTGGTGAGAGAGTTAGCCTTACCGTTTTCTCCTGGATCCAATCTCAAGTGGAATTTAAACTTGCAAAGCCCTACTGATATTCTAGAAATTTCTAAATTTTTAAAAAAGTATTAGCAGGTTAAATCTCTATAAATCTGATTTTTCTCTGTAGAGTATATCTTTTTAAAAATTACCCATGATCTTTCCTCTTGTGAAGTTAGATAAAATGGATAGAGTTATTAGTTGCTCACATTCCCCTATTTTATTACTTTTAATAGTTTAATATATTATCATTTATTTATTATTATATTATTTAGTATTAGTATTATTTATTAGTTTTATTGCTGGCAGAGACCCTCTGTCTACTATAGATGGATTTTTTTCCTTCTCTGCTACATTATTCCAATCAGGAGAGAGAAATAAAACAACTTTCTGACCTAGATTTTCAGCTACTCCTTCATTTCTTGGCTCCCATATAGCAATCTCCTAGGGAAAAAAAACATTGTCTATATTTGCTGTCTCCAGTGCCTCTCCTAGCATTCTTTCTTGAGATAATCCCAGTCACATTTGGATTCCTACTACTCTCCTGATATTGCTCATGTCAAGGTCAACTGTGATCTTCATGTTTCTGCACCCAGTGGTTGATTCTGTTGATTCTGTCTGCAGCTCCCTGGACTTATTTGCAGTATACAACATTGTTGATCTTGCCTTTCTCTGGGAAACATTTTCTTTTTTTGGCTGACTTTTAGTATACCTCATCTTCCTGGTTTTTCTCTTACCTCATTAATTGTCCCTTCTCAGTCTAATTTTCTGATTCGGCTTCATCACCTTGGCCTCAGAATGTCGGTATTGCCCAAAGCCCATTCTTTAGCCCTCTTCTCTATCCTTATGCAATCTCTTGACACTCTCATCCAGACTCAGGGTTTTAAATGTCCTCAATGATATGTCTATCTCTCATCCAGACTGCATCCTTGAACTCTAGATTCATACACAGAGCAGCCTATTCAATACTTCCACTTGCATGCTAATGGATGTTTCAAACTTAACCACATCTAAAATGAAGCTTCTAATTTTTTCCCAAAACTTGTACAACGTACAGCCCTCTTCATCACAGCTAATAAAAATCCCATTCTTCTACTTGCAGTTATCTATGATTCCTCATCTCTTCTTATATCCAACATCTTAACTTTAATGTGTGCGTATATATGTGTGTTTGTGTGTGTTCGTGTATACAAAAGTGCATATATGTACATATATACACTAAAGTGTACATATGTGCAATAAAGTATATTAGTACTTATTGGTAAATATAGCATTCATTTAAGTACTAGTATTAAGTATTGATATAAGTACTAATCTTGGTATTATTTATAAAAAATATATATCCAGAATTTGACCACTTCATAGTGTCTCTATCTTTGACATCTTGATCCAAACCACCATTATCTTCTGCCTAGACTGTGCAATCACCTTTTCCTTAGTGGCCTTGCATTCATTCTTGCCTGCTACAGTCTGTCTGAACACAGCAGCTAGAATAATCTTATTAAACCCCCAGGTTACTCTTCTACCTGAAACTCTGCAATTTATCATTTCTCTCAGAGTTAAAGCTAAGGTCTTTACAATGGCTTGCAAGTCTCTAAATGATCTACCACCCAATCCCTCTTAGTAACTCTCTGATCTCACCTTCTCCTTGTCTTGTTCTCTCTCACTCCATCCCAGACACGCTGTCTTCCCTGCTGATCCTCACACAAGCTAGGCATTCCCCTCGCTTCCCCAGAGCTTTCACCTGGCTATTTCCTATGCCAGAAATTCTTTTCTCCATCTTCCCTCTTCTTTGAATTTTTGCTTAAATGTCATGTTATCAGTGGGCTCTACTTAAATGTTATCTCAGATTTTCCCATCCCTATTATCCTGCTTTGTTTTTTTTCTATAAAAAGTATTACTTCCCAACATACTAAATAATTTACTTTTTTATTATGTTGATGATATAGCTTTCCCACTAGAACGTAAGATAGAGGGGTTTTTTTTGTTTGCTTTTTTGTTTTGTTTTGTTTTTGTGAGAAAAGTCTCGCTCTGTCACCCCGGTTGGAGTGCAGTGGCACGATCTTGGCTCACTGTAACCTCGGCCTCCTGGTTCAAGCGATTCTTCAGCCTCAGCCTCCTGAGTAGTTGGTATTACAGGCACATGCCACCACACCTGGCTAATTTTTGTATGTTTAGTAGAGACGGGGTTTACTATGTTGGTCAGGCTAGTCTTGAACTCCTGACCTCGTGATCCACCTGCCTTGGCCTCCCAAAGTACTAGGATTACAGGCATGAGTCACCACGCCAGGCCAAGATAGAGGTTTTATCTGTTTCATTTATTTTCATATCCCCAGAACCTAGAACTACACCTATAACATTGTAGGCATTCAATAAATATTTGTTGAATGAATGAGTGAATGAGTGAATGAATGAATGAATGAATGAAGAGCATGGGGTTTACTCCTATGAATAAACTTCCTTGGTTTACCAGGTCAACATCTAGTCTTTACATGTGGGACCAACAAGGTCAAATACAAAATAACACCCAAAGCATCCAATTTAATAAAAATAGAGAGTAGGAATGTAGTAAATAGTTTCTAAACATATGGCTGGAATGATTATAAATATTTTCCAATGTTGATTCAGCACTTTACAGAAAAACAGAGGGTTTGGATTTTCTAGCCCTTTAATTTGCTCAGAGAGAAAGAGAAAAAGCATGAACATCTTTGTTGATGGAGAGATAGCCTCCTCACCACCTGGGAATGATAGATTTCTTTCATAATAAAAGTATCTGTTTTGCATGGTGCCTCACATAGAGTAAATGCCCAATAAAGAGTTATTGACTCACTGAATGAATGAATGAGTGCTGTATATTGCCCATTACAGTGAGTATTAAAGTATTTTAAAAAGTAATCAGGAAATAAGAAATCAGACAGTGTACCACCAGGAATTTTGAATAAAATTCTGTCCATTGCTTTTTGAAATAGACTTTTAAGTGGAATTTGTGATTGAGAGGGTCCTCTTGACAACTGAGAGATGTGCCTTCTTCTAGATAGAGTGGACTGGAAATAGTTGGGATCACTACCCACGGAGGCCAAAGGAAGCTTGGGAACGTACAATTTCTGCAGGGCCCAACTTCAAAAGCTGGCATGTGGTGTATAATCAGCTGGTGCATAATCAGAAGTGTGTACAAATTTAGTCCAGAATTGCAGGCTTGGAAATGATAGATTTTAATACTTGCCCCAGTGAGTGAATCTGGTCAGGTTATCTCATGGCAGTTTTCTCATCATAATCTAGGGATGATGATACTTGTTCTATAGATACTTTTTGTGTTATGTTTGGGATAAGCAGGGGATTGTGTGTGTGTGTGTGTGTGTGTGTGTGTGTGTGTGTGTGAACATGCACTGAATGGAGCAAAGAGCTATAATGCAAGGTAATAGTGATTAGTTGGGTGTTTTTTAAACTAATCCTTAAAGTGGTTTCCTACTAGTGACTAAAAACAATGAGCAAACATGCGTTCACTTCTTTTCCAATGCAGTTTGACAACACTGGAACATTTCAGGTGATTCCAGTTCCTCCAAATGGGGAAAATCAAACATTAGAAAGACTTCGGCGCTGTGCACTTTGCTATGGTAAGACCAATGAAGAGAATTGACTGTGCTGAAGAGCTTAAATGCCTTCTAGATGAGTTATTGAATGTGGTTTTATCCAGAGATTTCTATTTTTAATCATAGGTTCTATTTTCAGTTTTCTAGTTTTTCAATACCATATGTCATGGTTTCAATCTCTGGAATGTTTGGAGTTTCCATAGAATGTGAAAATTGGTTTAGAAAATTATCCCAACCAATGTAGCATTTCTTGGGGACAATTGGGTAGTTTGTATCAGAAGTCTCTAAAATATCAAAAATATTTCCTAAATGAGCTTGGACATGACTTGTACACTGCAGGTATCTGTGCTACCTACATCTGCTTTCAACAAAGCCCTTCCCTTATTGTCTGCTAGTGCCCGGAGAAGTACCGGGACATTGAAAATTTCTCATTAATTTAAATTATGTGAGATCAAAGAGATATTGATCAAATTATAATTCTTGGTAATTAGTCACTGAGTCACTTGAAGATCTCAAACAAGTGTCTTGTTGGGTCAGTGTTGAACCAATGATGTGTCTCTCTGTGTGTTTTCAGATAAATGTTTTCCAAATGCTTGCATTCGAGAGGCTTTCTTACCTGAAGATTCATACATGGATGTAGTCTTCCTCATAGACAATTCTCGGAATATAGCAAAGGATGAGTTTAAGGCTGTGAAAGCCTTGGTGAGCTCAGTGATTGACAACTTCAACATTGCTTCAGACCCTTTAATCTCAGACTCTGGTGATAGGATTGCTTTGTTGAGCTATTCTCCTTGGGAAAGTTCCAGGAGAAAGATGGGTACAGTAAAAACAGAGTTTGATTTCATCACTTATGACAACCAACTCCTAATGAAGAATCACATCCAGACTTCCTTCCAACAGCTAAATGGAGAAGCAACAATTGGTCGTGCCCTACTGTGGACCACTGAAAATCTTTTTCCAGAAACACCCTATCTAAGAAAACACAAGGTCATCTTTGTGGTCTCAGCTGGAGAAAATTATGAGAGAAAAGAATTTGTAAAAATGATGGCTTTGAGGGCTAAGTGTCAAGGCTACGTCATATTTGTGATTTCTCTGGGCTCTACACGTAAGGATGACATGGAGGAGTTAGCCAGCTACCCACTTGATCAACACCTGATACAGCTTGGGAGAATACATAAACCAGATCTGAATTATATTGCGAAGTTCTTAAAGCCATTTTTATACTCGGTCAGGCGTAAGTTATTATTTCATTGTTTGTCTTTTTTTTAATAAGCTAGTGTTTGTTAATACAGTATTGATAACCTATTTTTGTATCTATAGCTAATCTAAACATAATTTATGAATTAGATGGTGAGATAGGGGCAGGAATGGATCATTTGCTGGTTATACCCTGTTTATATCCTGGTCACAAAATGGTGAGGCCTGAGGCCTTTTTTTATGATAGTGTGTCTTTTAGCCAAACTCTCAGCACTAGAAAGCCACAGAGTGACTAGAGGTCGTATGAATCACATTTGCTCAAGAAGTTCTAGCAGCAGTTAGGTGATTTCAGAAGAACATTCACGTAAAAGTTTTACTTGCTATACCTGTTTTATTTCCAACTTTGGCACACCCTGGAGACCTGTGTGAGGATGTGAAGATAGCAAAGTCCTGGGCATGCACATCACCCAGGAATCTTGTTAAAATGCAGGATATTCTTACTGAGGATATCTAGGGTGAAGCCTGAGATTCTACATTTCTAACAGATACTGCAGTAATGTCAATGCTGCTGGTTCATGGATCACATGGCTCTAGGCCAGTGCACTACAAAGGGTTGCTCATTGCATGAGTGCCAGGCTACAAATTGATGTATAAAGAAATAAACACACAAATTGAGAGTAAACATCTAGAAACTTTTAAGGCAATTTGACATTGATTGCTGCAGCGTACAGTTGCATGACCAGTGGACTCTGTCTCATTGAACAGGATGTATCAGTCTGCAAAGAACTAGAAATAAGAATACCTCGTCCTCTATCACAGATGGTTTGGAAAAATGCTCTTCTAGAGCAATTGTTCTCAATATGGCACAATTTGCCCCAGGGGACATTTGGAAATGCCTGGAGGCATTATTTGACAGTCACAACTTGGGGATGCTACTAGTATCAAGTAAATAGAGGTCAGGGATATTGCTAAACATCCTACAATTCACAGGACAGACCCCCCACCACAACAAAGAATAATACATCCCCAAAAGTCAATAACACTGATGTTGAGAAACACTTCTCCATAATATCCCACAGAATCAGAGCTGAACCTTTTCTTTCTGGAAATCTGACAGGTTTAGAAGTAAACTTGGCTGGAATTAATTCCACCACTCTACAATCCCAGTTTCCTTGCTATTCAAAGGATCACCCCACAACACCACAGTGATAATGTCTTGAGCCTTCACTCTTCATTGCAAGGAGAGCTCCACCTTTCTCCTGTGATTCATATTCAATTAAAGAATCCAATAATTGCCCTCTTGGGAACACTGTTATTTCTTTACATCTAAGATGCCCTCAATTGTATAATGTAAAGGAAAAAAATGTTTCCAATTAAATTTTGATACCAACTTTCCTATTAGAGCATTTTGTTTTATAGCAATTGAAAGAGTTCTTTTGGATGTATAGTAAATATATCACTCCTGTGCATGCATAAAAAGAAAATCTATGTGAAATAGGCAGGTTAAGGCACTCCTAAAACAACTTCTGATTCAGAATTTGACTCTTGTGAGCTACTTCTTGGCTCAGAGTCATTGGTATCCATTTTTTTCTATGCAATTTTGTTCTTTGTGCCATTAAGATTGATGATTATGCAATATTTGTAAAAGACTATAAAACAACTCAAAGATGGTCATGCTGGGCTGTTAAGTGGCTTTGCAATCATGTAGAAGTAGCCTACTGTTGACTTCCAGCTGGGAAGTGTTAAACACACCCAATTCGCTGCCTTCCCACAACCACTTGGTTTGTAGGAGTGAAAAGGCTCCTCTGCTGGTATTTATGGGAATGTTTTCAAACTGCTCTCCCCAATTCTACAAGTTTTGGTGCTGGCATGTTTGCTGTTCCCACATGCACAGGCAATGACCACTGCATCACAATTCTTGCCCACCCAACAGTAAGTGTCAGATGCAATTAATCAGAAGATATATTTTCATTTTAAAGAAATAGAAAAAAGGAAAGAAATGCTTATCTTAGTATTTGAAAATGTGATTATTATAAAACTACAGATGTTATTTGAGATATTTTCATAGATCCTTGGATCAGTCAATGGCTGAAGGCCTTCTTTAACTAAAATCTTTTATTTTCCAGAATGGGACAGGGTAACATACTTCTCCATATTCCAAAATTTATAGAACAACATCAGGAAGGGGATAAATAGGCATATTATTTAGACCAGTAAGGTAAAATCTTGTCTATGATTCTTTTCCTCATAGGAATCAGTATTAGTGGGTGCAGAAGCACAGAAATGATATCAGTATCAAGTAATGAAACATTACCTTGTCTCTGTTTGATCCGTTAGCGTAAGTCTGGGTGAAAAACCTTTGATGAATCAGAATAGAGTATCTCTTAGATTATGTTAGCCTGAGCATGTGAAAATCATGTTTCCCTGCATCACAACTAGCTCTTAGATGAACAATTTGAGGAGGTCTGTTTCCATGACTCTGGTAATCCTTTGGCTGCTAAAACACTCTGAAATCAAATTTTGAGTGCTATTTCTAACTGCTGTTTTCTGTTTTCACCCCAGCCAAATTTTGCTGAAATATGTTAGTGACATTAGTTGCTTCAAGAGGATTCCTGTTGGGATTCTCTTTACCTAGGAAACATCATTTCCAGTTTTAAAATCTAACTATAACTTTGTTCTCTCAATAGGGGGATTCAATCAGTACCCACCACCGATGCTTGAGGATGCCTGTAGACTCATCAATTTAGGAGGAGAGAATATTCAAAATGATGGTTTCCAGTAAGTTAGAAAGCTCTTATATTTACAAGTGACTGCTAATTGGCTGATGGGAGTATAACTGGTTAATAACACTTTATTAGGCTGATGATGCTAACAAGGTCTCTGAAGTAGACATTTTATGTATTCCATTTTCCATAGCAGAAATTACATATCAAGTATGATTTCCAATTTGTTTTTATAACATCATAAGCTTAATTACAATTTTGCCTTTAAATTCATGGTTTCTTCAGAAATTCCTGTATTGAAATTTACCCCAGAATAGAACCCACAATTTATCTTCGATCCACCTCAACCTCACTTCTCATTTCTCCCAACCATGAGTTCTGGTCACACTGAACTCTTACCTGCCTTGTGTGAATTATTCCATTTCACACTGCCTGGGACTCTTGCTCCATTCGGTGAAACCCTAGGCATCTTTCATGACCCAGATTGAAGCCATTTTAGAGGCCCACCCTCAGGGGCGCATTCTCTTTCTCAGGGATGTTCCTTGCTGAGAAAAAGAATTCAGCGATATTTCTCCCATTTGCTTTTGAAAGAAGAGAAATATGGCTGTTTTCCACCCGGCTCACCAGCAGTCAGAATTTAAGGTTACCTGTCTTGTTCCCTGAACATAGCTGTTGTCCTGTTCTTTTTTCAAGGTGCCCAGATTTCATATTGTTCAAACACACATGCTCTACAATTTGTGCAGTTAACACAATCATCACAGGGTCCTGAGGTGACATACATCCTCCTCAGCTTACGAGATGACAGGATTAAGAGATTAAAGTAAAGACAGGCATAGGAAATCACAAGGGTATTGATTGGGGAAGTGAGAAGTGTCCATGAAATCTTCACAATTTATGTTTAGAGATTGCAGTAAAGACAGGCATGAGAAATGATAAAAGTATTAATTTGGGGGAACTAATAAATGTCCATGAAATCTTCACAATCCACGTTCTTCCGCCATGGCTTCAGCCGGTCCCTCCGTTTGGGGTCCCTGACCTCCCGCAACATCTCTCCCTTTCTTTTTATATAAATGTGCCATGGTGATGAAGGCTTAGTCGTTCTCTCGATTTTGAGGCAGGATTCTTTGACTGGTCCAGCACACTAAAAACAAGCCGATTAAACAGAGAAACATAATTCCAAAATTTACTACAGTGGAGCCCCCAATAGACTTAATCCAAGTCGTGGGGTTTAATCCATAAAGATTTTCTGCCACCTGATCTAACACCTCAGCTCCAGGCATGATGGATAAGTGAGCTTGAGAGGATTCAAAAATTTGTTTTTTAAATTTAGTTATGTCCAATGATAAGTTATCTTCCCTACCTAGAAGTTGTCCTTTGACCATTTCCCATGAATGATCAGTCTTGTTATAGGAATACGGGGTGATACAGAAATCCGAAGTATTCCAATCACACTGCATTTGCATGTGATGTTCGAGACTCACTACCTGATCTCCAAGCCAAATAACAGACTGTCTTAAATCATTAATTTGATTTGCCAATTTTTGATCGATGCCTTGTTGAGAATTCCACATTTGGGTGGAATTGGCTTGCCAATCATTAACAAATGAGCCATTTGAATGGATTGGTGTAATGCCATTCTGGCAGTGGTGGCCATTGCAGTGACTGTAATTAGGCCCATGATAACAGCAATTAAAGTGAAAACAAATCTTAGATCTTTTTAGAATTCACTGTAACACTTCATTAATTAAATGTATTGAGGGGGAGGATTCCCAAGGTCTGGGCAAAGTTACTGGAATCCAGATTCCTTCTCGAGCTCGAACCAACATTACACTTTTCCTGGAGTCAAAATGGGAGTTAATACAAGTGTTTAAATGACAATTAATGCGTTGGACAGTTTGATTATTCGTCCAAATTTTGATATTTCCCACTAACAGCATGTAAGGAGGCTTAACACAACTCTGTATGGGAACAGTCAGGTTGGAGGTAAGTAAGGCAGAATGTCTGGATCTACGTTGATACTGAGAGAGTGGGACAGTAGTGGGAACAACAGACAGAATAGTTTTCCCTTCCCATACTCGCAGTCCAGACATGGCAATTGCCAATTTCCGAAGTTCTGGGTGTTCTGGGCTCAGAATGGGGAGTATCATATGAGGCCTGGTGCGGGGGGGATAATGCCTTTATCTTCGCATTTTAAGGGAAAGAATGAGCTGAACCTCCTATGCAAAGCAGAATGATGATTCTCGTTCTCCTGATAAGAAATAAAATAAGTAGCCTCCAGGCATTCCCTTCTGCCAGAGGAGCAATTGTTTTTTAAATAGCCCTTTGGTGCCCAGTCTGTTACTAAACCATGTGAGTCATTTTTTAATATTACTGCATGTGAGTTAACACAGTCTTCCCAAATTAAAGTTTTAGATGGGCCCTCAAAATTTTTAGGGCATGGTTTTCCTGCAGGTTTATATTGAAAGTATGGGGTATCTCCCATTACTCCTCCTTTCATTTGTTTTAAAGGAGAAATGGAGAGGCCAGAGACCAAATGTCCCATTTTATCTGTAGCTGATCTTTCCGGAAGATAAACAGCCTGGACTTGAGTTTCTAGAGGGATACAACTAGGTGCATGTCCGAGGCACAGAGGGGGGTATTTATAACCCATGGTAACATTAAATGCAGTGCCTTCTTCTCCTGGTTGAGCAGGGCAATGGTCATCTCTTGCTCCAGGCATCCACACACTATCGTTAGTGTAGATTTCTGCAGGAGCATCTATCCAGGTGAGAGGTCGAATAAGTGGAGGAAAAGGCACATAAGCCCAATAAGAATAATTATGTGTAGCAGGTAAATCAGTGTGAGAGGAAACTGGTGAGACAGAAAGTATAAGGAGGAGAATCATTAAATAAAACCTAGTGTAAGTGAGATTCAGTGCTGAAGGAGGAAGAGAAGAACAGAGGGATGTTATTTTCAGGCTAATAGAAATGGTGAGATTTTTAGGTTTGTAAGAAGAAAAAGAAAGGTAATCAGGAGAAGTGGGATTAGTTAGATCGGTCTCCATTGCCATCAGGGAGGACTGATTTAAACCCATTGTGATTTGGTGTGCCTGTTTCTGTGGAGTCGGCACAGATCTCACCACGTCTGAGGGCAGTCTCTGACACAGACGTCTTTTCTCTGTGGTTTTCATTGTCAGTATTCACCTGAAGCTTGAGTCTTCTGGTGGGTACCCAGACAGGGGATTGATGATCTCCCGGTGAAACACAAGTATATCATCTTCCCCACGTTATAATTGTTCCAGGTTCCCAGGTATTGGTTTGGGAGTTTTTCCATAACACTGGCTTGTCTTCGTTTAAGGAGAATTTTTTGCCTGTATAATGGCGTTTGGCTGCAGTTAGAGTATTATCTTTAGGAACATTTAAAAAAATTAGAGTAAACAATGCCAAATGTAATTGGGAGTGGGGAGTAGTTAAATCATGTTTTGGTTGTTCAGACTGTTTGGACAATTGGGTTTTTAAAGTGCGATTGGCCCGTTCCACCACAGCCTGTCCCTGAGGATTGTAAGCGATTCCAGTAATATGGGAAATTCCCCACTGTTGCATAAATGAATCAAAAGCCTTACTAACATATCCAGCGGTATAGTCTATCTTTATTTGATATGGTAGCCCCAAAACTGCAAAGCAAGAATACAGATGTTTTTTAACATGGGTCATGCCTTCCCCTGTTTGGCAAGTAGCCCAGATAAAACCTGAGAAGGTATCTACAGAGACATGCACATATGACAGTCCACCAAAGGAGCTAGCACGAGTCACATCCATTTGCCATAAAGCATTAGCAGTTAGGCCTCTAGGATTAACGCCAGGTCCCTGATTTGGAAGTACGAAGACCTGGCACTGAGGGCAGCTGTGAACAATAAACTTAGCCTGTTTCCAGCTGAGAGCAAATTTATCTTTTAATCCAGCGGCATTGACATGAGTGAGATTATGGAACTCCTGAGCTTCTTGGATTGTAAAAGAGACCAAACAGTCGACTTTATGGTTACCGGCAGACATGGGTCCTGGTAAAGTGGTATGAGATCTAATATGTGTAATATAGAAAGGGTGTCTATGTTGGCAAACCGCGTGTTGTAACCTTGAAAATAAAGAAGCCAATTCAGAATTATCAATATGTTTGATAGTAGCAGTTTCTATATTTTTAGTGGCATGTACAACATAAGTGGAATCTGAGACAATATTTAAAGGTTTGGGGAAATCCTGTAAGGCAGTAATCACAGCAATTAACTCCGCCGTTTGAGCAGAAGTATAAGAGGTAGAAATAAGTTTGTCTGTAGGACCCATATAACGGCATTGCCATTACTGGAGCCATCAGTGAACACTGTAATGGCCTTAGGAATGGGTTGATCCTTGGTTAATTTAGGAACCACCCAAGATGTCATTTTTATAAAATCAAACAATTTGTTTTTTGGATAGTGATTGTCAATAATGCCAATAAAATCAGCCAAGTGAATTTGCCACAGTACGGAATGTTGAAAGGCAGCTTGAACTTTGAGCTGATTTAAAGGAACTACAATTACATTTGGATCAAATCCAGAAATTTGAAGTATTCTGCACCAAGCCTGTCCAATTAATATGGCTATTTGGTCTAGATAAACACACAAAGTTTTTAACACAGAATGAGGAAGAAAACACCACTCCACTAAATCATTATGTTGAACTATTAGTCCAGTAGGGGAGTGTAATGAAGCGAAAACCAGAAGCTGAAAAGGCTGAAACGGCTGTACTCTAGATAACTGGGTGGTCTGGATTCTTTCCTCTACGAATTCCAGTTCTAGTAAAGCCTCAGGGGTCAAAGTCCTGGGGCTGCGGAGGTCGGAATCTCCCAGCAGCATAGAGAACAAGTTAGACAGCACATAGGTCGGAATGCCTAAATTAGGTCTTAAATAATTAATGTTACCCAAAAGTTTTTGAAAGTCATTTAAAGTTTTTAAAGAATCTCTCCTAATTTGAATCTTTTGAGGTCGAATGCATTGTTTATCGACCACCATTCCTAAATATTGAACAGGAGTGGTCTGTTGAATTGTACCCTGAGTGATGTGTAATCCAGCCTCTGTAACACAGCGGCTCAAAATTTGGTAACAGTCAATTAATTCTTTATCAGTGGGGGCAGCAATTAAAATATCATCAATATAATGAAGAATATAGGGCTTGGGAAATTGGGCTCGAACTGGTGAAAGCACTTGTCCAACATGAAGCTGGCAGATTGTAAGGCTATTTAGCATTCCCTGAGGAAGTACTTTCCATTGATAACGAGCTGCAGGCTCCTGATTATTGATAGATGGTATAGTAAAAGCAAATTTTTCACATTCTGATTTATGTAAAGCAATATGAAAACAGCAATCTTTAAGATCAATAACTATGAGAGGCCAATTTTTAGGTATTAAAGCAGGGGCAGGTATGCCAGGTTGGACGGCCCCCATAGGTTTAATTACAGCATTAATGGCCCTTAAATCGGTTACCATCCGCCATTTGCCTGATTTCTTTTTTACTAGAAACACAGGAGAATTCCAAGAGAAAAGAGAAGATTCCACATTTCCAAGTTGTAAGTGTTCAGAAACCAATTGAGTTAAAGCCTCCAGTTTTTCTTTAGAAAGCAGCCACTGCTAAATCCAAATGGGTATGTCGGATTTCCATTGTAAAGGGATAGGATTCGGAGGCGTGGCAGCGGCCGCCACTAAAAAGGATAACCTAAACCAGCCCTGTTTTCTTTTATAGTAACTGGGAGGGGTTTAGTAATCCCTTCATGCTTTGGACTGAGACCGAGTCCAGGAACAAACCCCATGTTTTCCATCATATGCTGACTGGGAGCACTATAAGAGTTATGTGGAATATTAATTTCAGTCCCCCTTTGTGCCAGTAAATCTCTACCCCAAAGATTAATGGGAATTGGCATGATATAGGGCTGAATTGTGCCCTTTTGACCATCAGGGCCAGTGCAAGGCAAGATAAATGTGCTCTCATAAACTTCCTCAGCCTTTCCAACACCTACTAGTCCCATGTTAGCGGGATGTTTAAGCCAAGAGGAAGGCCATAAACTAGAGGAAATAACAGAAACATCAGCACCAGTATCTACTAGGCCCTCAGACTTTTTTCCTCGAATGTGTATGGTGCACGTGGGCCTTTGTTTAGAAATTACATTAATCCAATAAGCGGCCTTTTCACCGCCGGAGCCCATCCCAGGGCCACGTGCCTTATCTCCTTTGTTTAAAACGGTATTAGGTAGTAAAAGCAATTGAGCAATTGACTCACCGGCCAGAATGGAAACAGGAACCTTGGCAGACACGATTAATTTAATCTCATCAACGGAATCAGAATTAATGAGACCAGTATGAATGGTGATTCCTTTAGCAGAGGTAGATGCTCTACCTAACACCAGGCCCACCGAACCTTGAGGTAAAGGGCCAGTGACCCCCGTGGGGACAATCAAAGGCAAAGAATCAGGTAGTAAATTCAGAAGAATAGTACTACAGAGATCAACCACCCCGCCTCCTACTGTGGAGGTGGACAAGCATTGTACTGAGACAGAAGGAGAGGCTGGGACCCATTTGGTTTGTTGGGACCCATTTGGTTTGGCTGTAGGTAGATTTGTTTGTGCTGGGGGTTGCGTTGGGACCGCCTGAAGTGGAAATGCAACATTGGTGTGAGTTTGAAGTGTCCCATTTGATGTTGGGGCCTGGGACCAGCCCTGCTCCCCGTTTCCCTGGTGTTGTGGCAGGGGGTTTCCATCTATATCATACTTAGAGCGGCAAATATTTGCCCAATGTTTACCTTTGCGACAACGTGGGCAAACAGTAGGAGCAGCATTTGGCCATGTGTGTTGAGCCGGCTTGGCCGCTTGTAAGTTTTCAACAGTGCAATTTTTTCCAGTATGACCAAGTTGGCCACAAGTATAGCAGGCTCCAAGAGAAGAATTAGTGGGACCAGTTTGGTTGGTGTCCTTCATGGCCCGTGCCCACAGAATAGCTTTGTGGGTGTCTGATCCAATGCCTTCACAAGCTTTAATATATGCAGGCAAAACCTTGTGATCAGGTAAATTTTGTCGTTGGACAGAACGCATGGCCATTTTACATTCGTGGTTTGCATTTTCAAAAGCTAACATACGAAGGAGAATGCCTTGAGCGTGCTCATCAGAGACAGGTTTTTCAACAGCGTCTTGTAATTTAGCTAAAAAATCAGGGTATAATTCAGAGTGACCTTGTTTAACCATGGTAAAAGAAACAGGAGCTTGGTCTGTAGCGCGTAATTTATCCCAAGCTCTCATACACACCTTTGTTACTTGTTCTGTGGTGAGGGCATCAAAGTTTAATTGGGCATAAGTATCAGAGAAACTATTGGAGCCTGTGAGCTGAGCCTGAGTAATTAGAATGCCATTACTTCGATTTAGCTGAGCCTGCAAACGGGCCTCCTCTGACCACCAGGTATGAAATTGTAAACGCTGAGATGGGGTTAGAACAGCTTTTGCCAAAAGGTCCCAATCTAAAGGAAGTAAAGTGACCTCCATACAAAAAGTTTGTAAAACCATCTTAACATAAGGAGAAGTAGGACCATACTGAGTACAAGCTTCCTTAAACTGTTTTAAAAAGGTAAGATTAAGAGGTACATAATGATCATTTGTAACCCTTGGACGTTAGGTGGGTCTAGCGCGACCGGATAAGTCCATGCGTCTAATCCACTTGTTTCTTTGTTTTGGCGTAATAAGTGTTGCACTGAAGTTTGAAGAGTAGGCATCTGAGATGGAGTTGGCGTAGAAGTGACAGGAAAAGCATGTATAGATAAGGGAAACTGAGGGTAAGAGGGTTGGACCGGGATGAGAGTGTGAGAAAGGGGCATTGGAGGAGCAGAAGGAGCAGAAGTATACTGGTGATTACTGCTGTTCACATGTGAAGAAGGGTACAGAGAAGCAGGCTGAGTGGATGGTAAAGTGACCGGTTGAGGAACCGAAACGACAGAAGGGTGAGGAGCTGAAGTGGATGGGGGAGGGCCTGCAGAATTATAGGTAAATTGTACTTTGGTCCCAGAGCCACTAGGTGATTCCAGAGATTTGAGAAGAGAATAATTAGCATATATATGATCCTGGGCTGTGTGAGTCGGGGCTGCAGGAGTTACATGTGCCGGCTTTTCATGAAAAGAAATAAGATCATCGGGGGTGACCGTAAGTCAAAGTCATCCGAGTTAGACATTGAATTCTCTACATTGTCAGGTAGGGGAGGAGTAGCCAGAGGGAGAGGCTGATCAGGTAACGAAGGCTGTGCCAGAGAGGAAGGTTGAGGAAAAGGTGGAGGATCGTCAGATTCAGAAAATTGTGGTAACTGTAGGGGATCATGGGATTGGTATGTCATTAGGACAGCAGGTACCAAGGCCCAGTCACCCCAAACAGTGACGGGAATATAATTCCCTGTGGAGACCAGTTCCTTGAATGTTGCACCAACACGATCCCATAGTTCTACATCTAAGGTTCCTTTTTCAGGAAACCAAGGACAGTGTTCTTCTACTGCCCTGAATAGAGTGACCGTATTTTCCATAGGCACTCAAACACCACCCTGTTTTAACAGGAGTTTAATATAGCAGAGATAAGCATGATGCTTAGACTCTGCATGACCCATAGTTAACCCAGACCATACACAGACTACTCACCACTTGTCAGGGAGTCGAACACGTGTTTCTGTGGACCAAACCGATGACGTTTCTCCGCACCTACCAAAGGGAATCGGGTTCCCTCATGCACTTAGGAAAAAAGAAAGACCACATGGGCACCAGATATTGGGGGAAATTCAGCCAGATATCGGGCAAAATTCACCCCTGATATTCATGTAGGTTCTTTTCTATTTTCCCTAAGCATGCACCAGTTTGAGAAATAAAGGGACAGAGTACAAAAGAGAGAAATTTTAAAGCTGGGCATCCGGGGGAGACATCACATGTCGGTAGGTTCCGTGATGCCCCACAAGCCGCAAAACCAGCAAGTTTTTATTTGGGATTTTCAAAAGGGGAGGGAGTGTACGAATAGGGTGTGGGTCACAGAGATCACGTACTTCACAAGGTAATAGAATATCACAAGGCAAATGGAGGCAGGGCGAGATCACAGGACCACAGGACTGGGGCGAAATTAAAATTGCTAATGAAGTTTCGGGCACCATCGTCATTGATAACATCTTATCAGGAGACAGGGTTTGAGAGCAACTGGTCTGACCAAATTTATTAGGTGGGAATTTCCTTGTCCTAATAAGCCTGGGAGCACTATGGGAGACTGGGGCTTATTTCATCCCTACAGTTTCGACCATAGAATACGGCCACACCCAAGGGGGCCATTTTAGAGGCCCACCCTCAGGGGCACATTCTCTTTCTCAGGGATGTTCCTTGCTGAGAAAAAGAATTCAGTGATATTTCTCCCATTTGCTTTTGAAAGAAGAGAAATACAGCTCTGTTCCGCCCAGCTCACCAGTGGTCAGAGTTTAAGGTTACCTCTCTTGTTCCCTGAACATTGCTGTTATCCTGTTCTTTTTTCAAGGTGCCCAGATTTCATATTGTTCAAACACACATGCTCTACAATTTGTGCAGTTAACACAATCATCACAGCGTCCTGAGGTGACATACATCCTCCTCAGCTTACGAGATGACAGGATTAAGAGATTAAAGTAAAGACAGGCATAGGAAATCACAAGAGTATTGATTGGGGAAGTGATAAGTGTCCATGAAATCTTCACAATTTATGTTTAGAGATTGCAGTAAAGACAGGCATAAGAAATTATAAAAGTATTAATTTGGGGAACTAATAAATGTCCATAAAATCTTCACAATCCACGTTCTTCTGACATGGCTTCAGCGGGTCCCTCCGTTTGGGGTCCCTGACTTCCCGCAACAGAAGCCAATGTTTACTCTCCATCAAAACCCATAGTTGTTTTTTATAGCACTGCTGAGGCACTTATTACGGCCTACCCAAGATCTTATCTTGCTGAAGTCTGAGGCTACATATGATTCATGTTTCATCCCCAAAAGTTAGCATAAAAGACTCCACAATATAATTGCACATATAAATAGTGTTCCTTGATATTGTATCCTAAATAAAAATATAACAAATTAGTCTGAATGAATCTTTGCCCTCAAACTGAGTGAAAGTGGCCCATCTTGGTTGCTTTCTTCTTTTCTGTGTGCTTCTTCGAGCTTAGATCCCTGACTATAGCCTGTGAAAGCCCAGGTTTAGGCCCATAATCACCCCATCTTCTCAAATTGCAATTAAGCAAAGGAGCTTCTCAGAGCAGATAAGGTCTCTTTGATACACCCAGGAGCAAAATGGAAAGGTGAGTTCTCCAGAATTCATGCAAGCATATGTTCCTCTAATGTCAGATTTCATTTACTTGGTAATTTTACAGGGAAGCGTCTAGCAGCCAACACCTTCTGAAGGACGATGTGGCACTGATCTTATGTGAAGCAGTGTTTCCCAACCTTGAATAAATCATAAAGTCATTTACAAGGAAAACCAATTCCTATAGGACAGCAGACAAAATATTATAATGTTATTTAAACATTTACAAACACAAATCTAGCTGTAAATATTATACACTTATAGTTCTTATGCAGCTGTTAAACCACAACAAGTTAATACATCAAATCCAGACAAACTCAGTGAGACAAAAATTTTCAACACTAACTTAATGCAATGAATGATTCTTCTTTGTCAAAATGGAATTTTTAAAAACCAAAAAAAGGTAGACATTGGTAAAATATATAAAATATGGTGCATGCTGCAGAAGAACGTCTACATGCAGCTTGCCTCCTCTGTTACATGATGACATGATTCTCCACCACATATCTTCACCTGCACTACTGCAAAATTATTCACACAGTGTGCCATCACACGTGATGTCACTTGATTTTCTCTTGGTGTGAATGTATTATTTATGTATTACATCTGACTTTTCTTCCTCTCCTCATTAACTCTCAACAGTTAAAATCATATTACTGGATGCCAAACATCAGTATCAAATGCAAATGCAAACACGGACATTGAAATTACATAAAATTGCATAATCAAGAATAAACTTCTATTGAATATGTTTTATAACATCATCCAAATAAAAACACAAAATTCTCAAATTATCACAGAGAACTCTTAAACTGCTATGATTATAAATGTAGACACTATTTTAAGAGGCACTGATATGGGTTATGTTTTATATAATCTTACTTTCTCACAGCAGTGCTTGGTAGATTAAGTATTTTCTGCATTTTCCATGGTGATTGGTATCAATCTGAGATATAATATGATTGTTCCAAATGCTTGTGAGTTTCTTTTCACTTATCTAAAACTCTGAAAATGCTGGACATGGTGGCTCACACCTGTAATCTAAGCAGTTTGGGAGGCTGAGGAGGGAGGATCACTTGAGCCCAGGAGTTTGAGACTAGCCTGGGCAATACAACAAGAACCAATCTCTACAAAAAATTAAAAATTAGCCCAGCATGGTGGCATGCATCTTTGGTCCCAGCTACTCAGGAGGCTGAGGTGGGAAGATTGCTAGAGCCCAGGAGGTTGAGGCTGCAGTGAGCTGTGATTGCACCGCTGCATTCCAGCCTGGGTGACCCTGTCTCAAAAGAGCAAGACCCTGTCTCAAAAAAAAAAAAACAAACAAACAATAAAACTCTGCACAAATCAAACTTGGTTATTCCAAAGTAGTACTTAATAGGCTCTAGACAGTTGTGAGAAAAGGTAGAATAAGTAGAAAATCTTATCAGAGTTTTAAAAAATAATATGTATAATGAATCTCAATGAATTATTTGATTGAAATGGATTTATATTTTCACCACCCAATTGGTTTTTTAAGGAGATAATTAAATATGTTAAATGTTAAGGATGTTTTATTTGCCTCCTTCTCTAAAGTTATCTAGACTCACCTAAAGTTTTTTTTTCTTCTAGATTTGTTACTGAGCTACAAGAGGATTTTTTGGGAGGTAATGGCTTCATTGGCCAAGAATTAAATTCTGGGAGAGAATCACCTTTTGTAAAGACGGAAGACAATGGAAGTGACTATTTGGTTTACCTTCCAAGCCAAATGTTTGAGCCACAAAAATTAATGATCAATTATGAAAAAGATCAAAAATCTGCAGAAATTGCAAGTCTCACTTCTGGTAAGAAAATGAAAAGTCATGATGGAAATGTTTAAATAGCCAGGATCCTCATCTTTTAACACTAGTAGAAAATCAAATAAATTAAGGCTGGTATCTAAAGCAACTTTTTTTAAAGTTCATTATGGTAGATACAACTTCTACTTTTATTGAAATTGAAGAAGTGAATGGTGACAGGCACTGCTAGGGAGATCACTGATAGAACCTCTCAGAAATGTCCCTGATATTCTTACCAAGCTTAAGATTTCTCTAGCATCCACAGTTTAGAAGGTTAGTATGATGTAGAAGGAAGCAGTATAGTGAACATCAGAACAAAGGAGGGATTAAAATGACTTTTTTTTGGGGGGAGGAATGGAGTTTCATTCTTGTTGTTCAGGCTGGAGTGCAATGGTGTGGTCTTGGCTCACCGCAACCTCCGCCACCCGGGTTCAAGCGATTCTCTTTAAAATGACTTTTTAAAGTTGGTCTGGCCAGTGTTCCAGAATTTGTGATAATATAAGAAAGTATGTTTTATTTTTGTGGTACCCAGAAATGATAGAACATAAACTCCCTTGATGCCTACTCTATACATTTTAATGGCAAAGCAATAACTTTTGTAAAAATGTAATAATTTCAAACAAATCAGATACAAAGGAGTATGTCTATATTTTCATTAAAAAGTGTGAGGGGAGGTGGGAATGGGTAATGGGTAGAGAAAAAGGAAAAAAAGAGGAAGAACTACTATTTGATAGCACAACAGGGTAACTATAGTCAATAATTTTAAAAACATTTAAAAATAACCAAAAGAGTATAATTCGATTGTGTAATACAAAAGATAAATGATGATTCTCATCATTCCATGATAAGAATGAGGTACCCCGTTCTCCATGATGTGATTATTATGCATTGCATGCCTGTATCAAAACATATTATGTACCCCATAAATATATACACCTACTCTATATCCATATAAATTAAAAATATATGTATTTTTAATTCCAAAGAGACTATTCAGCCATTCCATCTATGCATCTGGAATCTTCTAAAATGCTTGTTTGGCAGAATGTCAGCATTTTAAGCACTGTTCCAAAAGTATCATATGGTAGTTAGAGTACATAAGTATAAGAGAAAAAGGGGCCAGTTTTGTACTATAATATTCATTCTTAGTAGCTTCCTGGGATAAAATTTTTTTTCTTGGGTTTAACACTTACATCCCCACAATTATTTCTAAAATATAAATACTCGAACCTTATCTTTAAAACAGCTAAACTTACCTTTGTAGAAGCTACAATTAAGGATAAAAAAGACAATCATTAGTTGAAAAATAGGCATCTTAGCTCAAAAAAAAGTAGTGATGCAGTAAAACTAGATACATGTAGTACCATGGCATTAAGACATTCAAATGTGTATTTTTTTAGTTAAAACTTTTTTTATTTTCATGTAGACATAGCCTGAAGAAGAAAATTGAAGATTTGTACTTTTTAATGGATGTTAATTGTGCATGTTCATTTTAATGACATGCAAATTAGAGTAGCCTTCAAGGCACAATAATTTATTATGGTTTGGTTTAAAAAGGGGAAAAAAGAGAAGAAGAGGTGTTTTGGTAGAGGGTTAGAGTATCAAATTGTCATTTGTGATAGCTTTGTTAGAGCTAAGCATTCCAAAGTCTGGTAATTTAGAAGCATGAGCCTTTTCAGGAAAGACAGATATGACTGGATATGAAAGAAATGAAGCAAAGAAGGCCATCTTTGCATCAGTCATTGTTAATGACTGATGTTCAGTATAAAAGAAAGACTTTTCATTGATTTTTTTCAGCTTTCTGAGAATCAAGATCTGTATAGTTAGTGTAAGGTCCCATTTGGCTGAAGAAATAATTGTTCATAGCTCTAGCAGGGAAAAAAATGTAAATCCTACCCCACCCAGTTTCTCCTACAGTGAGTTGAAGTATGCTGAGAGTTCTGGGGATGATTATGTCAGGTTGGGGTAGCCTGGAAACACTGAGCGTTTCAGACAGAAGGATAATGTGTATTTTTTAATCCTTTAAAATAAATGTGAGTCTCAGATCATAAGTGTTTTCTAGGAACTTCGTGCTATTCTCTTTTCTTTCTTTCAATCATCTTTAGCCAGTTGCCAAAAACTGCTGAGTTTTCTGTATAGTGTGCTGTCCTGTAGAGTGAGTTGTAGTTCAGATATTTTATTCAGTCACTCAGAATGAGCTTTGATAAGTTCCAGATGTATGGCATAAATAAAAGGTTGATAAGTTTCATAAGCACCTCCATATGCTGTGTTTGTTACCCATTCATAATCTAATTCTTATGGCTGATGGCTGAGCTTTCTGCTCTTAAACTGAGAGGCTGGGAAAAGTCAGGAATCTTAACCATGTAAGAAATTTTTAGTACCCAGAGTCCTGTGAGCTGGCAATGACTTGTGTATCACCCTCTTTCAAAAGAAGCACAATCATTGACTATCTTCCTACCTATACCTCTTTCTCTTCTTCTCCCCATCTGCTCTGGTTTGAATTGAAATTATCTTCAATTCTACCACCTTTCCTGGCCCTCCTTTTACTTAAAGCAGCCGAAGGACAACCTATATCAGAATTATCTGGAAGCTCATTATAAGCACAGATTCCTAAGCCCTCCTGATAACTACTGTTTCATATTTAGGAGTGTGAATGAGGAGGAGAAAGCTACAAACTTTATAACCATTGTAGGTAATATTTGTATGCCCTCAAGCTTGAGATCAACTATGTCAGTGGTTCTCAAAGTGTTGTTCCTACACAAGCAGCATCAGCATCACCTGGGAACTCATTAGACATGCAGATTCTCAGCACTTGTCCTAGACTACTGAATCAGAAATTCTGGGAGCAGGACTCAGCAATCTGGGTTTTAACAAGCAGCTCAGGTGATTCTGATGTAGGCAGAAGTTTAAGGGCCACTGCATGTTTGACCATTTTGGTGTGCCAGATTTAATCTGTGCTCTCAATGGAGCTGAAAACAATTGGGTATCTAGAATCACAGAATAGAAATGAGAATTTGTGTTGCTAAAGAGTTCCAGGTGAAGTAGATTATAATTTTATCTTATTCAAGAACATCCATCTATCCATCCAACATCTATCTGACAAAACACACTTAAGATCTAAATATGTAGAGATTATCGAGAGATACTAACAGGCTTTTTGAACATAACATCTGCAATATAAAAATCCCTTGCAACATGCAGTCCCTTCTAATTACTTGCCAACAGAATGCACTTTGTTCTTTGAAATTATGTAATTTTAAAATGGGTAGTTTAATTCTAATTAAATTTCAACTATTGACCCACTGGTAAATTAGCACTTTCGCCAAAGATGCTGTACTATGCTTGCAGATGTTTTCTTGTGAAATGTTTTTTAAATGTTGTATTAACCAGTACTTAAGATACAGCTAATCTACCTTCAGAATTAAAAAACAGAATAATTTGTAACGCGTTTTAAGTACCAACCCAAACTCAGCCTAGGCCCTGCTCCTAGCTTTAAGCAGCCCCAGGCCTTAGGATAACTTCAACTGATGTTCGTTTCAATGAGCTCATTAAGAAATGAGAAGCAACACTTGAGCCTTCAGACTAAGCTGGAGTTATGCTTTAGGGAATTTACACAGGTTTTGTTTTTAATTTTTCTAACTTTACTCTTATTCTGATTTATAAATTGTTTTGTTTTTAGAGCCAATATATTTATTTTTTGCTTTGAATTAATCGTAAGATAATAGAACTGGAAGGGTATTAGTGATGACCTGGTAAAAACTCACCTGGGAGCAGCTCTACCCTACCCCACCCGAGGGGATATATTGCAACGTCTGGAGACATTTTTTTAATTGTCAAAACTGGAGGACACTACTGGCATCTAGTGAATAGAGATCATTGCTAAACATTCTCCAGTGTACAGGACAGCCCCTCACAACAATGAATTATCAAGTCACTTTTAAGGGAAATGTTTTAGAAGAAACCTCATGCCCCCAAGTTTATGGAACTGGCAGACTCACTAGACAGGCTCTCTACTTCTACACCCTGTCTGCTGTTCCCTTATTACATGTCCAAGATTCTACTATATTTTTTTTTTACAAATGATAAAAGTACTATTATACCACATAAAAATTCAAATACCAAGTTTCAAATCAAACAATTTAGCAAATTGAGTTTTTTTTTAATGCAGAGTATGTTCTTTTGTTTTTTCGTGGGCATATAGGTTTACAGTTTTATTTAATTGCATATCCTGCTTTTCACATGATATTATGTCACAACATTTTCTATATTGCCATAAGCTTCATACTGATTTTTTAAATGTTCTCAAAATGTTCCTTTTGATGAATGAATGCATGTATTTGACCATTTACTTTTTTTTGAATACTTGGATTCCTTCTCAATTTTGCTGTCATGTATCAAACTTGAATGTATATTTTTACTTGGGCTAAATTTAAATCTGCACTAGAATAAAATGCAGCAGTATTGGCTTCTGAGTCATCCAAGGAACATCAGCTGAATGTTCTGCTTTCCTATCAGTACACTTTTCAAGGAAGAAATCAGCAGCAGAATTGTAGCAATGTCTGGATTTTAATAACATGTTTTATGAAATCATTAAGAAATCTCAACCACTGTGTTGCTCTTTGTGGAATAAACTGAGTCTCCCATTACCTCATTTTAAGCTGTAGACTGAGATGTTTACATTTCCTTTTGCTTGGCAATTTGTTATTAATATTGTCATTATAGTTTTGATTGTCTTCTGTGAAGGTTTCACATGTGAACAAGATGAATGTAAACTGGGGGTTCAGAATAAGTGGACTATCTGAATTCAGACGTACATTGATGTTGCTTCTGTATGTTTTGTGCAATCATTTGTTGCAACTAATGAATGTTCTAGAGTGTTGGTGACATTTTATGTTATGTGACCCTTTCTAATGGAATAAAACGTGGATACTTGAAGTATTAAGTAGGTGACAATGGTGGTGATGGTGATGGAGGCGGTGGTGATGATAGTGTTGGTGCTGGTCATGGTAGTAGTGAAGATGATGGTAGTGAAGGTGTTTGCTGTTGCTGATGGTTGTGGTTGAGGTGGGTGGTAGGGATGGTGGTGGTGGTAATATTGGTGGTGGTGGAGGTGGTGGTGATGGAGATAAAAGTATGAAGGTGGGGTGGTGATGGTGGTAGTGATAATGGTGATAGTGAGGAGGTGATAGTAATGATGCCAGTGGTGGTGGTGGTGGTACTGGTGATGGAAGTAAGATATGATGGTGGAGTGGTAGTGAGAGTGGTGGTGGTGGTGATGGCTGTGGTGGTAGTGGTGACGGCAAGTTGGTTGGATGATGGCAGCCCTCATAGAGGGCTTACTATATGAAAAGACTCTTAAATTTTTGCATGGAGTTTTCCTTAACTATTCAGACATTCTTTCATATAACAAATATGTCTTTGGGTCCTGTTCTGAATTAAGCCCTGAAGTGGACTTTTTGGGGAAATCAGGGAGATTTAAAAAAAGACTCAGACGTAAGCTCTGTCTTCAAGAAGCTTTTCGTCTGTCAGGTATATTCTGTGTGTATAAAAAATGACTACTACAATTCAGGAAGTATTGAGTTCAGTTAAAAAAAAGTGGCATGCTTTGGGGGGATCAATATTTATTCTATGCAGGACACCTTTCAAAGTATTGCATACACTGTATCACTTGACTGATGAACAATGAATGAGGAATAATAGTAATCACAGAAGCTACTGCTTATTGAGGGCAACCATGGGCCAGCCACCATATAAGCACTTTATAGACATTATTTTATTTAATCTTTATTAAATTAAATCTATCATTATTTCCTTTTACAAATGAAGACACTGATGCAAAGGTTAAGAACCTCACACAAATTCATGTAGCTTGTAAGTGGCAGAGGCAGGATCCAAAAACATGACCTTCAACACAAAAACATGGACTTTTAACAATGTATGCCATGTTGCCTGGTGATGGTCATTTCTGCATTTACAAATGAGGAGATATATCCAATGGCCAAATTTGAATATAAACTAAATCATGTAAAATCATGTAATCATTTGGGAGAATTATTTTAAAATAGTTTTGGTGGCACAATTCTATTTTTAAATTTAAATTAACTTTTTTTTTTTTAAAAAAAACCTTCTTATAAACTCATCCAGAGGCATGGAGCACAGAATAACTCCATTAAAACCAACAAGCCATATCCGAGGTCATTTGGGTGTAAATGACTCCTAAGGCATGCATTGCCTTTTCTCAGTGTGCTGGTCCCTTTCTGCAGACTACTGTTTCAGAGTGTGAAATGACCCACAAGGCTCACTTTTATCATCTAAATGCCACCTAGAAAAGTCTAGGCCAAAAAGACATGAATTCTAAGTCTTCGGAGAAAAGGATGAAGTCTATTTTAAGACAGTCATTCCTACTTATTCAGGTAGATGAGGGAAGAGGACTTCAAACAGCAAAACAAGATAATTTTTAATGTGTCTATATTTCCCTTAGGCATAAAATCGATGACATCCATCAGATACATACATATTTGTGCCTGCCTCCTTTGTTGCCCCAACACGTGCCTTTAGAACTTGACCAGTGACTTTACCAGACAGGAAGGGTGATGGGCCTGGGCTGGCAGTGATAAGTGGAGAGGGGTATGAATGATTGCCTACTCCTTGAAGTTAAGCATGCGTCAGCACAACAGAATGAGAGTTCTCGTTTCTGAGAGCATCTGTACACTTGTGCATGTGTCTGTAAGCTAGACCAGCTGACTTTGCTTTTTTCGTGGAAGTCCTGGTTTGGATAATATACTGTCATGGGAAGGATTTTCAGATGCCTGAGACTTTTCTTTGTTTCTTTCTAAAAATTATATTTGTGGAGTAATTAGGATATGCACAGCATGGTGCAAACTTTAATTTTCTCAAAAACCTTGTAAGATTGTAGTATATTGTTACATATATTTAAGATAATGAAATTGAGGCATGGAGAAAACTCAAGGTCACAAAGTTAACAGATGACAGAGGCAGGACTGAAACTCTGAATATTCTGCTGATAATCACTGTTCTACAATGCCTAAGAAGAGAAAAATTACAAATTGCATTTAGTTCGTATATAGTTGCTTACTTTTGGAAGAAAACGTTCTCTGGTGGCTTCAATCAGAAGGAACAGCCATTGGCTGAGAAGCACATTTTTCACACCAGGTCCCAGGGCCTTAAGTGAGCTGGTTGATGGGTCCTTTCATGTTTCTGCTAGAATCTCATCTCTAATGACCAGTTCTTCTGAAGGAGCTAGACAAAGCTGGGTTCAAATCCTGCCTCTACCACTTATCAGCCATCCTTTCTTAGCCAACTCATTCACCCTTGCCAAGCACTGGTTTGCTCATCTGTAAAATGGAAATGATGATTATTCTGCCCTCATAGTGCTTCAAGGAAGATTAAATGAAAGAAGACAAGCGTAGAGCTGAGCACAAGACCCGAAGCAAACTGAGTGTTTGATTAAATACTAAGAAAGTAGAAAAGCCAAAAGAAAGTACTGCTAATCTCATGGGAAGTCATTGTAAAAAATGTCAACTTGAAAAATATTAGCTACAGTTCATCTGGACAGAACCTCACACATCAAGTAGCCTCAATTGTACATGTGGCTTGCCTATGAAGAACACATGGTTAATTTTGGCCCCTGAACAAATTTCAAATTTCAAAGCAGGCCACTGGATAACTCATGCATATCTTGAGATTTCCCACAAATGCCATGAAAGGCAGCATAGCAGCCTGACAGCATATCTAATCCCAGTCCAGATGGCCCAAGTCCTTCAGAGTCTCCCTTCTCTAAGTTTCCTTTCCACCCCCGCTTCTCCCTAATGTTACTGGAGCACATTTGGTGTTGTGGCTTAAGTCATTGGCCAAAGTCAGGCTACTCTCTGGGGGTGCTTCCCTGGAAATTCTGCTGAATCCCTAATTCCTTCCAAATCTTGCCCATAGGAAAGCAAGCCAGCTCCCCTTCCTCTGCCATTCTAAGGAAATTCTTTCACAGAGTTGAAGATGAGAATTTGGCTGGGTTGACATTTCCAGAAAATACACAGCGCCATTGTGAGCTATGGATATATTTTATCCACACTTCTGCCAGATTATCTTGAAAGAAAATATTTTTGAAGACCTTGTCTCCCTAAGTAAGATGAATTTAGACTCCAAGTAGAATAATCACACCTTTGACTAAATTTTAGAGTTTTCAAGGTACATCATCCACATTTAGCTTCTGTGATTCTCATGCTAGTCCTATAAGTTGGGAGGTAACCTATTTTTAGACATTTTGTAGATGAAATATACCTCTTTAGAAAATAGTTCTGAGGGGTATTTTAGAAAAGGATTGAGATTTTGCTTATTTATAAAGAGAAAACTGGAAAAACAGTAATATTTTTGATATGGGCTTGCAGAAAACAATATTTCACTGACATGGTAAGTTAATTATTTTGCTTCTACTAGAACATTTATGAAATTCTTTTTCTTTTTCATTCTTTTTAGAGATAGGATTTTGCTCTGTTGCCCAGGCTGGAATGCAGTGGTGTGGTCACAGCTCAGTGCAGCCTGAAACTCCTGGGTTCAAGCGATCCTCCTGCATAAGCCTCTCAATAGTAGCTGAGACTAGAGGCACACACCACTACACCCAGCTAATTTTTAAAATTTTCTGCAGAGATGAGTCCACTATGTTGCCCAGGCTTATTTTGAACCCCTGGCCTCAAGCGATCCTCCCACCTCTGCCTCTTAAAGTGTTGAGATTACAGGCATGAGCCACCACACCCAGCAATGCTTTTCTTTATGTTTAACAAAGTGTGTTGGTTGGCCTTTTTAAAGAAATTGAAATACTGTAGTTGAAAAACAGAGATCATGGTAACATCTCAGGTAATGGTTAGTCAACTTCAAAACTCCAAAAAGGATCACAAACTCCAAAAAGTTAGAAATGTTCATTTAATTAATCTTCACAATTCCTAACACACTATGGCTGAGAACTCTAGAAGTGTTTTTGGTGGTGATGTGCAAAGAATACAAAATATGTGCTGTGGTCTGCACTTCTAGTTTCATGTTTTGTTGTTTAATCAGGGACCTCAATCTTGACCAGGAATTCTAAGAGTTTGCCACTGGGTTCCTGGTGGAGAGTAGGAGGCCCATAAATTTCAAACATGCTTGTGTGATGCAAAATCCTGGTCAATTACTATAAATGTATGTATTGATAAAGGAAGAATGTGGTGTATATATGACCAGTTCTTAGTCCTTTGCAAGAAGCAAAAGAAGCATCTCAAACAAGATGGTCAGTTGTCATCTTTTAGAACTGCCCAAGATGGAGTAAAGAAGTTGGATTTACCTCACAACTGTAATAAACAAAAGAAAGCAAACAAAACATTTGAAATAACAACTTTTAAGACACTGGACATTAGGAAATGAAATACAGTAATCTTTAGAGAAGGAAAACAAATGAGATGAACACTACAAGTGCTCCAGCTTATAGCCTTGAGTGTTTTCAGGACATGGTACAAGAAGAGGGCATTGAGGAGGAGCCCAGTGAGCTCCTGGAGCTGAGGAGTCAGAGCTGAGAGAACAGGGAGACCAAGGCAGTGAGAGCTGACAGGGTGGGATACCAGAGAGGGATAACTGTACAGAGAGTAAACCCCAGAGGTCTGTGGAGGGTCTCGCTGGGTTATTCAGGAAAGTATTGACAGCACATGCATGTGAAGGAATTACCTGAGACCAGGGAAAGAACCCTCTTAAAATAGTGCCATTTGCTCAACAGGGCTAGGAATCATGTTTTTTTTCCCACCAGCAAGCCTGGAAAAGAACATAATTCACATAGTAATGGGGAGAAAACTTAGGAAGGTCTTGGCTCAGTAATAGGAAATAATTAGCCCTGAATTAACCACTGCTTTAGACTCATCTAGCAAATCATAATAGCAAGATCCAAAAGGATCAGACTCTTTCCATGCAACTTAACTGCCTTCCAGAACTAAGCACATGGATATTTACAAGAATACAAAAGTATTTCACACTTAACAAGGAAAATTTCACAATGTCTGGCATAAGAAGCAGAAAAGCACAAAACATAATGAAGAGTATAATCACTTAAAACCAAACCACAACGGACACAGATGTTAGAATTAGCAAAGATATCAAACCAGTCATTGTAACGGTATTCAATATGTTAAAAAGTTAAGTGGAAACATGAAAGATATAAAAAGAAGATTCCAATAGAATTTGCAGGGTTGAAAACCATTGTGTCTAAGAGGAACAATGCACTGAATGGGATAATGGCAAATTAGATTTGGCAAAACAAAAAGATTGGCAAACTTGAAAACATAGCAATAGAAATTCTCCAAAATGAAATACAAAGAAAAAAAGATATAAAAAATGAAAAGAGTATTAGTTAGTTTCAGGATCTTCTCCCAATCATTGATTAAAAATCAGCAGGAATATAGTAGGCTTGAGCAACACTATCAACTAACTTGACCTAACTGACATTTGTAGAACACTCCACCAACAGTAGAATATATAATCTTTTCAAGTGCACATGAAACATTTACCAAGATAGACCATATTGTGGACCATAAAACAATGCTCAACATTTTAAAGGATTCAAGTGATAGCAAATGTGTTCTCTGACTGAAACAGAATTAAATTAGAAATCAATAGCAGAAAGATCTTTGAAAACTCCCTAAGTATTTGGAAACTAAATAAAGCAGTTTTAAATAGTCCATGGTCAAAGAATAAATAAAAAGGGACATTAGAAAGTATAATATTTTGAAATAAAAGAAAATAAAATCACTGTGCCAGAATTTCAGGTTCCACTTAAGCAGTACTTACGGGAAAATAAATAGCATTAAATGCCTATATTGACAAAGAAGAAATGTTTCAAATCAATGATCACAACTTCTACCTTAAGAAATCAGAGAAGGAAGAACTAGATAAACCCAAGGTAAGTGGGAGAAAGAAAATAATGAAAATAAAGTGGAATTCAGTGAAATTGAAAAAAGAAAAACAATGAAGTCAATAAACCCAAAAGTTGTTTCTTTGAGAAGATCAATAAAATTGATAAATGTATAATTAAACTCACCAGGAACAAAGAGAAGACACAACTTTCCAATATCAGAAATGAGAGGGGAGATGTATTCCAAGGATATTAAAAGGATAACCAGGGAATATTATGAACAATCTTTTGCATATAAATCAGCTTAGGTAAAATACACAAATTTCTTGCAATGTATAAACTACCAAAGCTTACTCAAGAAGAAATAACCTAAGTAGCCTTATACCTATTAATGAGATTGAATTTGTAGTTCAAATCTTCCCATAAAGAAAACTCCAGGTATGGATGATTTCACTGGTGAATTCAACTAAAAATTTAAGGAAGAAATAATACCAATTCTACAAAAACTCTTCCAGAACATAAAAGAAAAGGGAATATTTCACAACTGACTTACTTCATTTTATTATTTTTAATTTTTATGAATACATAATAGTTGTACATATTTTTGGGGTACATGTGATATTTTGATAGAAGCAGTCAATGTGTAATGATCAAATCTGGATAATTGGGATATCTGCGAATAACATGGTGGTTAACAGAAGCTAGGAAGGCTAATAGGGAGGGGGGAATAAAGAAGAGCTGGTTAATGGGCACAAAATACTTATTAGAAGGAATAAGATCTAGTGTTCTCATGGTTAATAATAATTTATTATATATTTTAAAGTTAACACCAGTTAACAATAATTTATTGCATATTTCAAAATAGCTAGAAGAGTAGATTTGGAATGTTCCCAACTCATTTTTTGAGGCCAGATTACCCTGATACCAAAACTAGACGAAGACATTACATGAAAGGGAAACTACTGACCAACTACAGAACATCATTCACAAGGATGTGAACACAGATGCAAAATTCTAAAGAAAATGTTAGCAAGTTAAATCCAACAATAGATTTGTAATGAGATAATATGGAATTTATACTGGAAGGCAGGGCTCATTTAACCATCAAAAATTATCTAATATAGCATTTCACTGTTAATAACTTCACCCATGGTGGTGGGGTATTTTTCTGGCATTTTATTTCTATATTAGGCTTACAGCATTAATACAGGTTGACTCATTTGTTGTTGTGAGAATTAATGTAAAAGTATCTAATAAAGGGTTGAGTAGAAATGGAGATCAATAAATTTCTGGCAGTTAAAAATCTACTTTTTGCTTGATTAGGTTCACAAATTCACTTCTTTCATAGAAGCAAAGAACATTGGCCATCTACTTCCTGTCTTTCCAAACTGGCATTTCCTGTTGACGCCTCACCAATCAGCCATCATTCATATGATTGTAGACAGGCTTCATGATCCCTTAGGCTTAGAGCAGAGCTACTTGAAGTGCTCATCTGCAGCAAGATAAGAAGCTTGGCTCGGAATGTAAATCAAGGCAATGTTTTCTTCAAGGAGAAAGTCTTGCTATGAAAATAAATAAATAAATAAATGTCAGCTGAACTAATCAGTGTGCTTAGTAATTTAGTTGACTTACATCATGGTGCAAACTGCTTACCTTAAAATGGGCTGATGAACTGTTTGCAGGCACTTTGAGTACCAGGTTCTTAGAGTATGTCATATCTCACACAGCATTTAGATTCCAAAATCAGCACTTGTTTATACTTGCTCTCATGACATTGCTCTATGGTGCATACTTTGAACACATATATAAAGGTTTTTGTGCTTTTGCTACCAATAAATGTAACTTTAATATCTATACTTTCTCTTGAGGTTATTACATATAATTAAATTTCATGCACATGTGTACTTCAAGTTTTTTAGCCATGTGGAGTACATTAAAAATGAGTGTTTCTCAACTTGCATATTAAAATAGCTGGAGGATAAATCAGTCCTTTCACAAAGATCTGAGATAGGATAGCAAATGGGTTTTTTCTTATGTGACAATACATGTCAAATGGTAATGGCTCTGCATGCGCTATGTGGGTACAGATTTGGAGGGTGCATCTGGGAACAAGCAATGTGATTATTGATGTCTGCCATGAGTATGGAAATGCAGCATGGTAATAACCTCATGCTGTGTATTTGCCATCTATGACTAGGAGCTCCAAGCTTATCTTTCCATTAAAAAGAATGACTTGAGTTATTCTGTTGCAGGACATGAAAATTATGGCAGAAAAGAAGAACCAGATCATACTTATGAACCTGGAGATGTCTCTCTTCAAGAATATTACATGGATGTGGCTTTCCTCATAGATGCTTCCCAAAGAGTAGGAAGTGATGAGTTTAAGGAAGTAAAAGCTTTTATAACCTCAGTGCTTGATTACTTTCACATTGCCCCCACTCCACTGACCTCCACCTTAGGAGACAGGGTTGCTGTCCTGAGCTACTCTCCTCCAGGCTATATGCCTAACACTGAAGAATGCCCTGTCTACCTGGAATTTGATTTGGTTACTTATAACAGTATACACCAAATGAAACATCATCTCCAAGACTCTCAACAGCTCAATGGAGATGTTTTTATTGGCCATGCCTTGCAGTGGACAATTGACAATGTCTTTGTAGGAACCCCCAATCTGAGGAAAAACAAAGTTATCTTTGTAATATCTGCTGGCGAAACCAACTCTTTAGACAAAGACGTCTTAAGGAATGTGTCTCTGAGAGCCAAGTGTCAAGGCTACTCCATATTTGTGTTTTCCTTTGGCCCTAAACACAATGACAAAGAATTAGAAGAATTAGCCAGCCACCCTCTGGATCATCACTTGGTCCAACTTGGCCGAACCCACAAGCCAGATTGGAACTATATCATCAAGTTTGTCAAGCCATTTGTCCATTTAATCAGACGTAAGTCATTAATTCTCTTTGATTGCTTTTGCAATAGATTTAATGTTTCTGTGTACAGTCCATCAGCAGACTTAGTAAAATGATCCTCACTTCAGTTAAGAGTGGTAGAGTATAAGTGAGTAGGAGGCAGTAAAAAATCTCAGAGAAAATTCCCAGATTTTTTGACCATGAGCCTTGCTGCTGTGCTGCCAAAGTTTTAGCCAGGAAATCCTCAAATGGATGAAAAGTGCCCTTTAGCCCTAACCCGTGAGTGTTTACTATGTGGCAGGTTCTTTAAATTGATTGTGTCATTTAATCTTCAGTGCAGTCCTCAGAGGAAAGTATTCATAACCCCATTTTGCAAGTGAAAAGACTGAGATTCAGAAATGTTAAATAAAGTGCTTAAAATCTCACAAGTAATAATTAGTAAATTCTAGACTCAACCCCTCACATTCTGACCCCAGGGCTATGCTGTTGTCTAGTAAATCACACTTTAATTACTAAACCCTTAGCAAGGTGTAATGGTGTAATAAATAATATCACACTGACACTGCCCTCCACCTACTCCAAGGACTTCTATTTTGTCTTGTCATTATAAATTAACCTAAGTTCTGACTTGAATTCTTATGAGCCATAGGGACAAATCTCCTCTACAGCCTCTATGCCAGACAGCTGGTAGGGATTTTTTAGGGTGTCTTTACACAGTGGGGCTTTAAGGGTGGCTGCCCCAGCCTCTGCCCATGTGTTATGACTTTAGACATGCATATAGCAGCACATCCAAAACCTTGTAAGATCAAACAAGTCCTAGCGTGTGCTGGGAATTAGGAATGTGGCAGAGGCTACTTTGAATGGTCTCTGCAGCTCCTGTAAACTTACTAGAGAATCACAAGGTTGCAGGTTTTCTGGCATGCATAAAGCCCCAGGGCTTACACAGTTCGCAGGAATCTTGGAATTTAGCAGTTATGTTTAGTAGCAAGTAAAAATGTGCCTTCTCCCAACCCGAAGATAAGTAGGGCAGACAATTTCAATAGCTAATAGAGTCTTCTCCCAGAACTTAAAGTATAATTAAAAAAAAAATAAAATATAAACATTTTTTAAAAAATAGTCTTCTAGAAAGATCCTCCTTTTATAGAGAGAGAAAGAAATGATAGAAAGAATTTAGAGATGTCCTTAAAGTATATCACAAATTTGTGATAGAGCATTGGAATTATTTATTCAATGACTGGCTGTATCTTCTTGACTTTGCCAAGAACAAAGAATTTCCATGTCAGAGTGTGCCTATTTTGTGAAGTCCGTTATAAAAGTTGTTCTTGAAAACACTGCCAACCACGTGAAAACATGATCTGACTTTGGGTGAGATAATAATGTAGGTGGGTAAAATTTAGACTAACCAGCCCACTCTCTCTCCAGGTGCCATCAACAAATATCCCACCGAAGATATGAAAGCCACATGTGTTAACATGACCTCTCCCAACCCAGAGAACGGTGGCACAGAAAACACTGTATTGTGAGTTGAGAAATTCCAAGTTTGGGTAATACCACAACTGGAAACAGTTCTTAAGAAAACTGTGAAATGAATAGCATTTTAGTTTTCAAGATCCAAGTGTGTGTTTTTGTGTGTGTGTGTGTGTGTGTGTGTGTTTTAAATGCTACTCGTTTGTGATGATAGCATAGGTCTGAAATTAATCGCAGATAGAACAGGACTTATATTTGAAAGAACTTTGCTTCCATTTCTGTTTCTTTTACCAAAAGTAGCCTCCTATTAGTAACTTCTCAGTAAGTAGATAACATAACTCCAATATTGGGTACTGCCAAAACAGAAAACTTATATCAAAGATTCCATGTAACAATTTTAGAGCAGAATAAAAACATAAAAAACAAAACAAAATATTTGGCCATTTAGAAAGCAAAACACATATGAAGATTGGCAGGAAGGATTCTTTCAAGTTTGATTTTACAAAGTACAACCCTAAGTACTCAATAAAAATTTAATGATAGAAATTATACTGGTTTGGAATTCTAAACTGCGGAGACAAATGTCTAAGTTTCCTTCAGAATATTAGAAAATTGCACAAGTCAAATTTCATTCATGGACTGAACTTGGACTATTCCAATCACATACATAAAATGGATTCCTCTTATATTATCTGGTGGTATTCACATTTAATCTTGCAGGGGACTTGGCTAACTAATTTTTTATCTCTCTTCTCTATTACCTCAGACTTCTTCCTGGGATATATGAAATAAAGACAGAAAATGGTGATCTGTTTGATGAATTTGATTCCCAGGCACAACATCTCCTTGTATTAGGGAACAATCATAGTAGTGGTTCTGAGACAGCTACTGATTTGATGCAGAAGTTATATCTGCTCTTTTCAACTGAGAAACTGGCAATGAAAGACAAGGAAAAAGCACATTTAGAAGAAATTTCAGCTCTAGTGGTTGATAAACAGCAAGAAAAAGAAGGTAATCGTGAGTACCATAGAGCTGAAGACCCTCAAGTACCTTTGTTTGGATTTTCCCCTGGTGGAAGATGAGCAGTTAGAATTCACTGGGAGAGGTAGAGATGACAGGATGAGGATAAAAGAGGGGCTTATCGTCTAAGGATCCAAGGGAGATAAAACTTCAGAAAGGCAAAAAATAGTCTTTGTTGACATATTCGAATTACAAGCAGGTATAAATGCTTGGTGTGGAGTCAGGGAATGGGGAAGTTGGAGGGGCAAGAACAAGGATAGCAGGTCTCAAGTAAGCAGGAGCAGTCCTGCATCCTTGTGCAAAATCGGGGTGAAGGGGAACTGTGCAAGGAGCCTCCAGAGTTTTAATACTCGAGATCTGCTCTCTCCCTTAACAACTAGGGTTTTCTTGGTTTGAGATGTAGGCCTTTAGCTGAGCCTCAGCCTCAGTGGGACCTGGAGAGGACAAGGCCACCATGGTTCTGAGATCTGTGTGGAGACTGTGGGCAGCTCCATAGGCTGGGTGGAGAAATGGACCTACAGCTAAAAGCAAAACAGGAGATGGACAGCCGGAAGCTATTGGCTCTAGGGCAGCGATTCACAGTCCTTGCTGTGTCCCAGAGTCATGTGGGAAATGATTTTAAAATAAATATTCCTTGGTATCTACTAAAGCTGAAAATATGTATATCCAGTGACCCAGTAATTTTACTTCATTGTATATACCCTATAGGAATATACATATTAACCAAAAATCATGTACTAAAATGTTTATAAAAGCACTATTTGTGTTGCCCCAAAGTGGGAACAAAAATGCTCAACAGCAGAATTAAAAAATAAATTTTGGGACATTTATATAATAAAATCCCATATAGGGGCATATATGTATACTTCAAAAAAGTTTATATATGTGTGTGTATACATATATATATATATATATATATATATACACATTTATAAATATAGATATAGTTAAAGCTATAAATATATATACACACATACATAAACATATATATAGTTTTAGATATGGGTATAATTGTAGATATATCTATTTGTAGAGAGAACAAAATCAGCAAAATGATGGAAAATAAGAGAAGTGAATATAGGAAAAATAGGAAAAATACAGACAAAAAGAGAGAGAGAAGATAGATATAATAAAATACAAATTAAATATAAGTATATTGAAATATATGGTTCTCATCAAAATGGAATAAGTTCATTTTTGTTTCAAAATGGAATAGGCCCATGTCACTTATCTTTTCCACTGATTACAACTGAAAATTCTGGATGAAATACAAAAAGCAACTACCTGAGGGCTCTGAAAAGTAAGCAAAAGCAAGTATATTGTGAAGGGCCATGAGTTTCCCATTTTCCTTTCTCTTTTCTTATGTGGCTTTATGCTGAGGGCAAGCCTAAGTACAGGAACTGTGTGGCAGTGAAGTAGATGTCTAAACCTCATTAGAAACCCCATATTTTTGGCCAGAAGAACTAGGAAAAGAGGCCCCATGCATTAAAGAAATCCTGCTTTTTTCCCCCTTTTCTGTCATGGGTTTGCTTTGAAGGCAGGCATCAGTTGGCAGCTAAGTGGAAAGCTAGACACTTAAAATTAAAGAGAAACCCTTTCTTTCTTGTTGAAGGCCAAAAGAGTCAGGGTCATGATTAACTCAGTATACCACTGGAGGCTATATGAGTACAGAGCAAACTGTTCTCATAAATGAAGAATGTTGACAAACTGACAAACTGCGTATGCCACCCAGAAGGAATGCTGAGGGCAGTCATGCCCCAAAAGCAAGTGTTTCTTGTGATTAGGTACATCTGAAGCCTGTTAGTAATAATATGAACCTGTGATCAATTAAGCAGCTGACCAATCGTTACCTCCTCCTCCCTGCTCTTGCTACTCAATAAATATGAAGGGTGGTGGAAGCTCAGGGGCTGCCTTTGCTCACTAGAAGCAGGGAGCTCTCTTCTTCTTCCCTGGTTCCCCTTCCTTTAAAGGTTTCTTTTGTCTTAAGTTTTCATTTCTGTGTTTGTCCCTTCCTTCAGTCCCACAATGATGGTCTCAAGCAGTAACAGTAGTAACTTGTAATGACATCTCAAGTAGTAACAGCAGTAACTGCCATAGTGACAGTCTCAAGTAGTAACTGTGGCAGTCTGTCACATTTATGGCCAGAGAAACTGGAAAAGAAGACCTTGTGGGCCAGCATGTGTGGGTAACCTTAGGGAGAAGAGAGCTGAACAAAGGAATACTCTACTTGGAATTAGGGGACCTATATAAGTCTCAGACCCTTCCCTAAACTGTACATGTATGAGAAAGACCCTAAAAAGGATAGCAAAGGCCCTAGAAACTAAACTGTGACTGCTACTCACAGACAATCAGACAGCACTTGCATGCTGAACCTGAGATGATTGCCTGCTAAAACAAAAATATTCTACAGAGAATCATAACAGGACTTAGAGTCTAAACAACATAATATTCAAAATGTTCAGGATACAATCCAAAATTATGGAACATACAGAGAACCAGGAGATGTGAACAATTCTCAAAGAAAAAGACAACCAACATGCCAACCTCAAGGTGACTCTAATGTTAATGATCAAAGACATTAAAGTAGCTATTATAAGTATGCTCTATAGGTAAAGGTAAATAACTTGAAATGAATGGAAAGATAGACATTTTCAAGCAGAGAAATAGAAATCACAAAAAAGAACCCAAAGGAAATTTTAGAAGTAAAAAATACAATATCTAAAATTTTAAAACATTCACTGGATGAGCTTAATAGCAGAGTGATGATGAGAGAAGAAAGAGTCAGTGAGAGGCTGAGTGCAGTGGCTCACACCTGTAATTCTGGCACTTTGGGAAGCTGAGGTGGGCAGATCACTTGAGCCCAGGATTTTGAGACCAGCCTGAGCAACATGGTGAGACCCCATCTCAACAACAACAAATTAGTTGGATGTGGTGTCATTCACTTGTACATAGTCCCAGGTACTCAGGTGACTGAGGTGGAATAATTGCTTGAGCCCCAAAGGTCAAGGCTGTAGTGAGCTATGATCATGCTGCTGCACCCCAGTCTGGGCAACAGAGCAAGACCATGTCTCCAAAAAAAAAAAAAAAAAAAAAAAGGAAAAGAAAAGAAAAGAAAAAGAGTCAATGAACTTGAAGAAAGATTAATTATGCAATTATACAAACTGAAGAGAGAAAAGATTGCGAAAAAGGCGAACAGAACCTTGGAGGCTTGTTGAGTATCAGAGGGTCTAACATTTGTTTCACTAGAATTCCATAAGGGAAGTAGAAAGATTCATGCAGAAAAAATATTTTAGGAAATAATGACCAAAAATCCCCCCAAATTGGTAAAAGATATAAATGTACAGATTTTAAAAGCTAAAAAAAAAATTCAGACACATCATAATCAAACTGCTGAAAACCAAGGATAAAGAAAAAAAATATTGAAGCAGCTAAGAAACTATGAGACAAAATAAGGGAACAACTCAAATGACTGTAGATTTCTCATCAGAAACCATGAAGGCTAGAAGACAGTGGAACAACTTCTTTTTTTTCTCTTTAATGTGCTGAAAGAAAAGAACTATGGACACAGAATTTTATATCCAATAAAGATATCCCTCTCCCTCTGGAATAAAGACAAAATAAAGGCATTCTCAGATGAAGGAAAATTAAGAGAACTTCTCACCAGCAGACCTGTCCTAAAGGAGAAATATGTGACAGCCAGGGAGTTGGAGTGAGGTCAAATGACTGGTGACCCAGTGGGCAGGAGACATACTGGGCAGGTGAAATTAAGGAAGGGACACAAATGAGAAATCAAATGGGTGATTGAAAGGGAGGAAGGCTGAGTAAGAGAAAGTGGTGAGCACCAGACACAGCTTGCTCATGTGAATAGCTGTACTGTCTGTGAGGTAATTTCATACCCATTATCTCATTGGATTCCCTTTAAAACCCTTGTGTGGGAGACAGGAATTAATATCCCTAGTACACAGATGGAGAAACTGAGGTTCAAAGAGGTTTAGTGCCTTGCCAGTGACTCTGTTTTGGTAACTTCTGATTCAGTATGCTTTACCAACATCTGGAGGAAGGAATAAGGGGTAGATCAGAAACAGAGAGGGTGGGTTGAAGAGGAGGTATATTAGTTTGCTTGGACTGCCATAACAAAGACCATAGACTGGGTGGCTTAAATAACATTGATTTATTTTCTCATAGTTGTGGAGGCTGGAAGCCCAAGCAAGGTGCCAGCCTATAAGGTTCTTGATGAGGGCTCTCTTCCTGGCTTACAAATAGCTGCCTCCTCTCCTTGTCCTCACATGATAGAAAGAGGATCTTGGTGTCTCTTTCTCTTTTTATAAGAGTAACGGTTCCGTAAAATCAGGGCTTCACCCTTATGACCTCATTTAACCTTAAATGCCTCCTTAAGGGCCCTATCTTCAATACAGTCACATGGGGTTAGGGCTTCACTGTATAAATTTGTGGGCAAGAGACACATTTCAGTTTATAGCAGGGGATATAATTAAAAATTACTCACAGGAAAGAACCCTGTAAATTGGTGATTCCCAAACTTGTCTATACATTAGAATCACCTAGTTATTTTTTTGAAAAGTCCAAAGTCTAGCCCACACCCCATATCAATTAAGTCACATTCTCTAGAGGTAAGACACAGGCATCAGTTCTTTTGTTTTGTTTTGTTTTTTGAAGCTCTCAGGTGATTTCAATGTGCATTCAAGTTTGCAAAACACTGCTATAAATCCTGGTTGAATCATTCCTGTTAGACAGCTTTAGATATCTCAAGGTGATTTGCTGCTGAAAATAATAAGGTTGGTAGAATCAAAAGGATTATCATCAAGTGTGCGTCTTTGTTGTTTGTTATTATTCTTCATTATTTTCTCCAAAAGTTTTCTGCATTTTTCTGTTGTAATGATATTATATACATCTAGAAATAAATGATGTCTTTAATTCTTTTTCTCACAGATCTCTAGCCAGCAGCTTGGGTTAGTTATATTTGGCCAGCCCTGCTCCCTGAAGCCAATCTGAGTCTCTTCAGAAAATATCAGCTTGTCTTTTTCTTGCACTCATGAAAGCTTAATGACTGAGAATCACTGAGTTGTACTTTGTCTTTTTGCAGATAAGGAAATGGAAGCTACAGACATCTGAAGCATCTTACCTAAGAATTCAGTAATTAATCCAATACTTTCGTCATAGTGATTCATACTCTATGTTTATAGAACGTAAGTTTACCTTAAAGTTAGGCCATGAAACAGAAATAATACAATCTATCTCTGAGTTGTTGAAAAGTTGAAGATGATGCATATAAAGCTCAAAGTACACACTATGCGTGGAATATAATCAACTAGTATTATCCCTATTTGAATTATCTAAGTTTGATCATCTATTTGACAATTAAAAATATAAATCCATTATATCAAATTATCACTTTATGTTGTTTTGTTCATGTTTTGTTTTCCTAAAGAGATTGAACTTTTCTTTTCACCTGTCCATTTGTTTGAAATTTTCATTATATATTTCTACTAAAAGGACAGATTTTCTGTTTGCTTATTATAAAGTACATTTTCAAGAATTTAATGTAGATATTTTTAAGTGGAACTGTATCTTTTTTCTTTATGTCAAACCCAAGGCTTGTTTCTTATTTATTTTTCCAATATCAACTGTAGTGTTTCTCAAAGTATGATCCCTGGACCAGCCACATCAGCATCGTCTGGGAACTCACTAGAAATGCAGATTCTTGGATTGTACCCCAGACCTACCGAATCCGAAATTCTGGAGGTGGAGCCTCCAGAGGTTGAGAACCACTGACATAGTATTATAAATATCAAGTCTAAATCAGACTTCTTTAATAGGGGTCCTTTCATTGGATATTAATAAGTATTTGGGAAAAAATCATTTCTCTAGAAATCACTGATAAGTAGATATGGGTTTTTCTGCAGGACTTTTTATTGTCTTTAATGGAATATTAAATTCTATTAATATTCTGAGAAAACAGCTATAATCAAACCAATTTGGCCACAGAATCTTTTAACAGCATTTTATAGGGCTAGTATTTTGTAGAAAACACTTCAGGAAACAGGAGTTGAAAGAGTTAATCCTGGAGCCAGCTGTAAATTTGAATCCTATTTCTGCAATTACTGGTCATGTGATCTTGGGCATGTCACATTGCCTCTCTGAGCTTCCATTTCCTCATCTGCAAAATGGGGATAATAATATAACCTATGACATTGGCTAATGTAAGCAGTAAATGAGTATGAAGTGCTTCAAACAGCTCTTAGCATAGAGTAAAAGCTTCATAAATGTTAGCTGCTATTTAAAATCGTGATCATGTTGATGATGACAGTGATGATAACAAATGATATCAGAGCTAGTGGTTACGGTGAAAAGAACACCCCAGTGCCAGTTTTAGTTCTGTGGCTAACTGGCTTTATGATCTTGAGAAGTCACCTGATTGCTCTGGTCCTAAACTTTCTTCTCAGTGTAATGAAAAGCTTGGATGAGGCCAGTGTTTTTTATACTGGGGTATACATACTGGGTGACACACAAAGATTTTCCAATGCATGGATTTCAAAAGCTAGTCTTAAAAGGCTCCATCTACCTGAGAATGTATTTGTGTCTAAGGAATCACAGAAGGGCATCCTTTTCTGCATCCCCTTTTAAAAACATCCCCCAGTTCACACACACAAAATGGCACATCTCTCAGCCATTCTGAATCTAACTGCGGTGCTTTGCCCCAGATGTAAAACCCCTGTAGGGAGGTATGTGGGGTGGGGTGCAGTGGGGATTGTCAAACCAGGAGTCATTTAAAAATATTCTATCTGTAGTCCTTCTTTAATCAAAGCACCATAAACCCAAGTAAGGCTTCAAATCTTTTCGATCCTGTACATACTTCTGTTAAGGAAGAAGGGTGTTGCTAGAAATGGGGTATTTGAACTCATGTTAGAATGTTTTGAATTCAGGTGCATCATGGAGTGAGGGTGATAGCAATGATGATAAATTTCATTTTGTAATCTGGCCCCTCCCATTTCCCAACTATTGTGAAAGGGTGTATATCTCCTGACTGGGATTTCCATGAGAACAAACAGAATGTATATTGGAGATATATTGATGAATAATGCTATGGCCTGAATGTTTGTGTTCCCCCAAAGTTAGTATGTTGATGTCCTAACCCCCAAGATCATGGTATTAGGAGGTAGGATATTTGTGATTAAGTCGTGGGGGTGGATCCCTTATGAATGGGATCAGTGTCCTTATAATAAAGGACACAAGGGGACTCCTCTTCCCTTCCACCATGTGAGAATTTAGTGAAAAGGCACCACGTTTGAACCAGAAAGCAGGTCCCTCACTAGATGCCGAATGGGCCAGTGCATTGATCATAAGCTTCCCAGCCTCCAGAACTGAGAGAAATAGATTGCTGTTGTTTATAAGCCACCCAGTTTATGGTAGTTTGTTATAGCAGCCTAAATGGACTAAAACAGAGAGCAAGCATTCTTTTATCAGGCAAAACAAAAACAAAAACAAACAACAACAAACAAACAAAAACCACAAAACAGAAAACAAACAAAAACCCACTATGGAAAGAGCTGTATCTTGGAATAGAATCATAGTAAGATATCATCACAGGAACCCCCAATACCATAATTATTTCAACTGAGAGATGAGATTAGACTCTTTCAAAGGCAGAGCATGTGTGGATTGGCTTTTACAATAAAGACCAGTTCTTCCAATTAGGCTACATGGGGAACATTTCCCATAAAGTGAATGAACTAAATTGAAGCTTCAAAATTCTGAAGTAAAAACATATAGAAAAGATGATTAAAATATTTTATCAAAAAATATACTAATAATGTAAGTATCAAGTGTGCTTAATTTAGCAATATTAAACTTTTCCAAACATTTTAGTTTTTTGAGATAAATACAGTGCCTCTCAGTAAAAGAGTAACAGGTATAATTAATAGCCATTTGATAAATTTGATAAAGCACTTTTTAAACAATATTTCCCAGAAATTAGAAAATGTTGTCTAAATGACTGGATAACTGATTCTTTTGTAAAACTTTTTGAAAGATTACTGGGTGATTTTCGGGATATGATTCAGAAAAAAGTCAAATAATTGTTTGACATTGCTCTGATAAAACTCCTTCAAGATCCATCGATGTAAATAATATTTATCAGTGCTTAAATATATAACAATAGATATTAATAATTCTATCAATTCTGATATTAAATCTTGCCTTACTCTAGCAAAAACAGTAATATGTAAAAATAACAGGGAAAAACTATCCATTTTATTAATAAATGTATTTTGAACAAAAATGTTTACTTTTTGTCTTAATAGAATTACCAAAATTTAAATATATATGTTGTTTTGATAAATTCTAATGATAATTCATCTTTAAAAAGTGTTAATGTATAGAAGCTTATCGTCATAGAAAATAAGAACATACACTTAAATATATATATTTTTGCAGAGAATTATGATTAGGCAAATGAAATATTTTAAAGCATATAAACTTATTAGAGTTAGAATGAAATTCTATGGGGAAAGTGGAAGGGAAATACAAATTTAAGGAGAGAAATGAACACTATAAACTATCTGACATTTAAACATAAGCATGTTTGCATATATTTTTAGTAAATAATGGTGGACTCTGTTGGATAAGTTAAGAGAGAAATGTTAAGGTTTTATTTTTAAATGTCAGTTTTTATAATATGTCACAACTTACATCTTTTTCAACCACTTAAACTCATAACGAAAAAAATAGATATTTAAAATGTCCAAGGCAAGAAGTAGATGTTTTGTTTTCCTTTGAGGTGTGGCTGTAAGCAAAAATTTTTAAAGACAACTAGGCTGGAACCTCTCTAAGATTCTGTTTTAGACCAGCTTCCCCTGAATCCAACACAGAGTTGAGAATTTCTGTGCATGTGAGTTACTGAGGGAGTGCTCACAGGAGAACCAGTAAGGAAGGAAGCAAGACAAGGAAGGAGTGGAAGGCAAATAAGGGTGTCATCTCAGGCGAAGTCCCATAGAGGGCAGCTTAAGCCTGATCCTTCAAGGAAACGCAGGCGCCTAAATTAGGCTGCAGAGATTTCCTGAGCTGAGGCAAGAGGGTTAGGCTTTCTTTTTCTTTCTTTCTTTTTTTTTTAATCCTTTAAGTTCTGGGATACATGTATAAAATGTGCAGGTTTGTTACATAGGTATACACGTGCCATGGTGGTTTGCCACACCCATCAACCCGTCATCTACATTAGGTATTTCTCCTAATGCTATCACTCCCTTTGCCCCCCACCCCCCGACAAGCCCCAGTGTGTGATGTTCCCCTCCCTGTGTCCATGTATTCTCATTGTTCAGCTCCAACTTATGAGTGGGAACATGTGGTGTTTGGTTTTCTGTTCCTGTGTTAGTTTGCTGAGAATGATGGTTTCCAGCTTCATCCATGTCCCTGCAAAGACATGAACTCATTCTTTTTTATGGCTGCATAGTATTCCATGGTGTATATGTGCCACATTTTCTTTATCCAATCTATCACTGATGGGCATTTGGGTTGCTTCCAAGTCTTTGCTATTGTGAATAGTGCTGCAGTAAATATACGTGTGCATGTGTCTTTATAGTAGAATGATTTATAATCCTCTGGGAATATACTCAGTAATGGGATGGCTGGGTCAAATGGTATTTCTGGTTCTAGATCCTTGAGGAATCGCCGCACTGTCTTCCACAATGGTTCAACTAATTTACACTCCCACCAACAGTGTAAAAGCGTCCCTATTTCTCCACATCCTCACCAGCATCTGTTGTTTCCTAACTTTTTAATGATCACCAATCTAACTGGCGTGAGATAGTATCTCATTGTGGTTTTGATTTGCATTTCTCTAATGATCAGTGATGATGAGCCTTTTTTTCATTTGTTTGTTGGCTGCATAAATGTCTTCTTTTGAGAAGTGTCTGCTCATATCCTTTGCCTACTTTTTAATGGGGTTGTTTTTTTAAATTGTAAATTTGTTTAAGTTCCTCATAGATTCTAGGTATTAGCCCTTTGTCAGATGGATAGATTGCAAAAATTTTCTCCCATTCTGTAGGTTGCCTGTTCACTCTGATGATAGTTTCTTTTGCTGTGCAGATGCTGTTTAGTTTAATTAGATTCCATTTGTCAATTTTGGCTTTTGTTGCAATTGCTTTTGGTGTTTTAGTCATGAAGTCTTTGCCCATACCTATGTCCTGAATGGTATTGCCTAGGTTTTCTTCTAGGGTTTTTCTGGTTTTAGGTCTTACATTTAAATCTTCAATCCATCTTGAGTTAATTTTTGTATAAAGTATAAGGAAAGGGTCCAGTTTCAGTTTTCTGCATATGGCTAGCCAGTTTTCCAACACCATTTAACGAATAGGAGATCCTTTCCCCATTTCTTGTTTTTGTCAGGTTTGTCAAAGATCAGATGGTTGTAGATGCATGGCATTATTTCTGAGGCCTCTGTTCTGTTCCATTGGTCTATATATCTGTGTTGATACCAATACCATGCTGTTTTGGTTACTGTAGCCTTGTAGTATAGTTTGAAGTCAGGCAGCATGATGCCTCCAGCTTTGTTCTTTTTGCTTAGGGTTGTCTTGGCTATTTGGGCTCTTTTTTGTTTCATATGAAATTTAAAGTAGTTTTTTTCTAATTCTGTGAAGAAAGTCAATGGTAGCTTGATGGGGATAGCATTGAATCTATAAATTACTTTGGTCAGTATGGCCATTTTCACGATATTGATTCTTCCTATCCCTGAGCATGCAATGTTTTTCCATTTATTTGTCTTCTCTCTTATTTCCTTGAGCAGTGGTTTGTAGTTCTCCTTGAAGACGTCCTTCACATCCCTTGTAAGTTGTATTCTTAGGTATCTTTTTCTCTTTGTAGCAATCGTGAATGTGAGTTCACTCATGATTTGGCTCTCTGCTTGCCTATTGTTGGTGTAAAGAAATGCTTGTGATTTTTGCACATTGATTTTGTATCCTGAGACTTTGCTGAAGTTGCTTATCAGTTCACCAAGGTTGAAATGAAGGAAAATATGTTAAGGGCAGCCAGAGAGAAAAGTTGGGTTACCCACAAAGGGAAGCCCATCAGACTAACAGCAGATCTCTCTGCAGAAACCCTACAAGCCAGAAGAGAGTGGGGGCCAATATTCAACATTGTTAAAGAAAAGAATTTTCAACCCTGAATTTCATATCTAGCCAAACTAAGCTTTATAAGCGAAGGAGAAATAAAATCCTTAACAGACAAGAAAATGCTGAGAGATTTTGTCACCACCAGGCCTGCCTTACAAGAGCTCCTGAAGGAAGCACTAAATGTGGAAAGAAAAAACCAGTACCAGCCGCTGCAAAAAACAACAAATTGTAAAGACCATCGACACTATGAAGAAGCTGTGTCAACTAATGGGCAAAATAACCAGCTAGCATCATAATGACAGGATCAAATTCGCACACAACAATATTAACCTTAAATGTAAACAGGCTAAATGCCCCAATTAAAAGACACAGACTGGGAAATTGGATAAAGAGAAAGTTGGGCTTTCTTACTTCCTCCTAGGTTATTGATTGGTCAAGAGCTGCTGTGGAGAGAATGTAAACTCCAGGTGCTCATAGTGCATGTAGTTAAAGCAGGTCAAGTAGCTAACAGCAGTCCTCAAAGAATAATAGGTGCTGATGTTGGGAGCAAAAGCTCACATGGCAATGGTTGGGGAGGGAGGCCCAGAAGGGGAAGACAGAAAACGAAAGAATATTGTCCTAGAAATTAATGTTAAAAAAGAAAGATTAGGGGGATTCTGGGCAAAACCTTGATATTGTCTATTGCACACCCCTTCAAGCACCTGTTTAATAATACCAGCCACTAAATTTGCTAAACATGGAATGTCAAATCATTAATGTACCAACATTCTTCCAGGAAGAATTATGTCTATGATTCTCCTTATACATTGCTCATTTATATCTATTATCACATCACCCTGAGCTGGACTTCTATTTTGACCATTGAAAATGACAAAAATATTGTGTTTGTTTTATATGTGGCATATAAAGGAGTAGGCCCTGGAGGAACATTTTGAACAAATACAATGACATTAAAAGCAGTGAATATTGTTATATTTTGCAGATGGTGAAGATACAAGGTCATCATAGGAGAAAAGAAGATAGCTCCACTGACATGTATAATCCCATGTGGTTCTAACCAGAATGTATAATCATCTGTTAGAGGTACTGTGGTAAATGACAGGGACTTTTCACAAAAACAATTGGCTAATAGCATGCTAAATTTGTTCTCCATCTCAAATCTTGAGGAGAAGAATTTTCGGAGTGAAGACATCAGTAAGAAGACCTGACAAACCAGGAATGATTTCATTTCTCCTGAGAACTGGGGAAACCGACCTATAAGAGTTAACTTTTCTTTGAAAGCTCTGCACAGTTCAGGCATCAATTTTGATGATGTATCTGCCTGTAAAAGATTGTCATTATTTTCAACACATCTGTATCTCAGATTGGACTCCTCTAAAAGCATTTGGAATTGGAATTTCCTAGGAATATCTTCTACTAATTCTTAAAACTGGAAAGCCATGCCCATGTCATCGGTTCTGGGGTGACCCTAACATTTCATCTAGCAGTGATTGTCTTCTAAAACCCACCTGTCAGGCTGCTATGACCCATAGTTAATGCTTTCTCTTCACCAGGACATTGACAAAAGAATGGAATTGGTGAAAAAGAAAAAAGTGATAAGAGGCTAATTTTATGAACCATATTTTTTGCTGTAATCTTTTGTTTAAATTTTAGCAGCTTTGCTTTGTGTATACTGAATTTTTGCAGCAAAAGAATTACGGAAAAGCACAGATACTCTATATGACCAGAGATGTTCTTGGGAATTACAATGTAGCAAGAGATAATTTCTAAAATAAAAACAAGTCTGACTTGGAAGTTTGTTCTGTTCATTATTATTTAACTACAGTCTAACGCAACCCTAATAGAGCACCAGTAGAGGACTAAATATATTTGGAACATTTACATAAAATGTAAAATTAGCCAACAGTGAATTAGTTTTAAAAATCATTCAGTTTGGCTAAGGCAACAGGTAATTACCAAGTCAATGAGCATCTATTATATTAAAAAATGAAATTACTGTGTTAATGGGATAATACCATAGGCTATTTTGTACTTTTCCCATGTAATTTTTCTTGACCTTACTGTTGTTATTTGCATAATTTAAAAATAATCCAATTAATTCTAAGTTGCTGAGATTTTTATAGTAACCATTTATTGCTCTTTGGGAAGTTCCATATTCAACTCTACTCGTTTAGTAAAGTTTTGTTTTCCCCTAAGAACCCTGATAAGTGTAGGTGTGTGTGTGCGTGTGTGTGTGTGTGTGTGTGTGTAAACACATGCATGAAGAATACATCAGATACCTAAATCTGAAAATGACATGATTATCAAGAATGTGAAGCCACAGGAACTAATCCTCTGCTGATGGGGGTGTAAATTGTTTAAACAGCACTGTAGCAATATTTAGTTAGATGGATGATACACGTATCCTAAAACCCAGCAATCCCACTACTAGCTCTCTACAGCTACGTGTGAGAAGCTCTCACATATGTACGCCAGGAACCAAATACAAACATGTTCACTGCAGCACTGTGTGTTTTAGAGAGGAGCTGAAGCCAACATGAACATCCTAATGTGGTCTACTCATACAATAGCATATGATAGAGCAGCTAAATTGATAAACTGGAGCTGTATCTACAAACAGAGACAAATCTCAAAGATAATATTGAACCAGAAAGAGTTGCAGATGGATACATTATGACATCACTTATACATTTTAAAACCTGAGAAGCAATACCACATAATGTTTATGGCTACTGACAACTGGAGTGAAAACACAAAGGCATATGTAGGGATGACAAACACCAGATTCAAGACAGCGGTTATCTTTCAGTGGTAAGAGGTAAAGTGGGGGTCCAATTTTCATCATAATGTTTTATTTCTTAAGCTGGGTGATGGAAAAGATGTACATTCCTTACTATTATTCTCTACATATTTCAGTGCCTGACATTTCATAATTTAAAAGAGTAAATTAAGTAATAAAAATGCAAAATTCAAGTAAATCCTTGTGCTACATCCAGGACTATGTTAGGAATTGAGAGGGATTTTTTTTTAAATTAGATAACTCTACTTGACCTTGAGGAGTTTGCACTAAGTCAAGGTCATTAGAGTTAGGTAACCTTCTGAGATAATGGTTCTTCTTGAACATTGAGCACCTGGGAAACTTGTCCCCTTCACTGATATGCCACATAATGTTGGATCAATGTATGAAATTAATTTTTTTCTTTTTTTATTATGCTTTAAGTTTTAGGGTACATGTGCACAATGTGCGGGTTTATTACGTATGCATACATGTGCCATGTTGGTGTGCTGCACCCATTAACTCGTCATTTAACATTAGGTATAACTCCTAGTGCTATCCCTCCCCCTTCCCCCCATCCCACAACAGGCCCCAGTGTGTGATGTTCCCCTTCCTGTGTCCAAGTGTTCTCATTGTTCAATTCCCACCTATGAGTGAGAACATGGCGGTGTTTGGTTTTTTGTCCTTGCGATAGTTTGCTGAGAATGATGGTTTCCAGCTTCATCCATGTCCCTACAAAGGACAAGAACTCATCCTTTTTTATGGCTGCATAGTATTCCATGGTGTATGTGTGCCACATTTTCTTAATCCAGTCTATCATTGTGGGACATTTGGGTTGGTTCCAAGTCTTTGCTATTGTGAATAGTGCCGTAATAAACATACGTGTGCATGTGTCTTTATAGCAGCATATTTTATAGTCCTTTGGGTATATACCCAGTAATGGGATGGCTGGGTCAAATGGTATTTCTAGTTCTAGATCCCTGAGGAATTGCCACACTGACTTCCACAATGGTTGAACTAGTTTACAGTCCCACCAACAGCGTAAAAATTTTATGTCTGGGCATTTGAGGTTGCACAGAGTACAGCACAATTTGATGCACATAAGAGCTAAGATGGGTGATATTAAGTGGCATTGTTTCATTGGAGGAGCAATTACACTGTAAATACAGGGAGCTTTAAAATAAATTTTGGGGCCGGGCGCGGTGGCTCACGCCTGTAATCCCAGCACTTTGGGAGGCCGAGGTGGGCGGATCACAAGGTCAGGAGATAGAGACCATCCTGGCTAACATGGTGAAACCCCATCTCTACTAAAAATACAAAAAATTAGCCAGGCGTGGTGGCGGACACCTGTAGTCCCAGGTACTCAGGAGGCTGAGGCAGGAGAATGGCGTGTACCCGGGAAGCAGAGCTTGCAGTGAGCCGAGATCGTGCCACTGCACTCCAGCATGGGTGACAGAGCGAGACTACGTCTCAAAAAAATAAATACATAAATAAATAAATAAATTTTGGGCATTCAAGAAAAAAATACAACACCTGAATGTGCGCTGTGGGCACAAAATGTCAACAACCAACATCAGAGAATGAACAAAGGTTAATAAAAATACAGTGCATGAATTCAGAGTCAGGCTGCTAAGTACAGTCAGTAAGTGCTTTGGAAATCAAAGAAGGAAAAAAAATCACCTGGGATTTAAATAATTGAAGAAGACTTCAAAGAATAAATGGGATTCACACCAGGTCCCCACTTAAAGGCTCACAATGCTTTCCTTCCAGTTTCTTCATAATGACAATGAGAAATCCTTTCATGTCTTAGAAGGAGTTTCTATAGGTCAGTTTCTAATCTGACCTTTGCTCGCCTTTCCAGCCCAATCTGTTCTCACTGCAAGGAACCTCTTCCGCTCTCTACCTCCTATTTATTCTTCCATGCTGGCTCTCACCTGCTTAGGAATACCTTCCATACAGTGGGGCTGGGATTGCCATATACAGTTAGAATATACACTGTATATTCTCCTAGTACCCGGATCTCTCCCTCTGGGCCCTCATTAGGGAGAGTTATAATGGCCCATTCATTTGTCAATATCCTCAAGAGGCACTGAAGTGAGCTTCTCCATCTTGTTTATCGCTGTGCTCCCAGTACCCAGGATGGTGCCTGGCACTTAAAAGGCACGCAATAAGGATTTGATGAATGAGTGAACGAACTCGCCTTGAAGGATAAATATGGTTTGGTTTGAAGGCAGTGAGGGGAACTGGCATGAGCAATGATGAGAAAACAAAAGCTAGAAAGAGCTGTGTGTCTGTGCACTAAGGTAAGTGGAGAAATTGGCTTGTATGGAGGCCAGTGTGATTGGAAATTTGAGACCACAGCAAGTGTGGTGAGTGGCTGAAGTGCCTTTTTAAAAAAGCCTTTAAAAATAGCAAATTACAAAAAAAATCTTGAACCATTCCACAATATCCAATTTGAATATGGGATGATCTGTAAGCAAAACTGCATGCCCTCAAAAAGGAGCAATAGTATATGCATTAAGCACCCATTTTTCAGAGTTCTGTGCAGAAATGACCCATGGCCAACCCACTGCAGCCTTACGTGACATGAGAAAATATGCTGTAGAACAGCTGGTCAGAATTACAGATGACTAAGAATCCTGTGATATCTCTGGAAAACTGCAGTTGACATTTCAAACCTAATTTCTAAATCTTATCTGAGTGTAAGCAGTGGGGGTGAAAATTTGAATAGGCACAGTTGAAAGTTTGTGCAGCTCCAGTAAGCCTCCCTAAATTGGAACACTTTTCCATCTTTCTAGAGTAACCTGTCTGTACTTGCAGAACACCTCTCCCACTGCAAGATTACCAGAGATCCAGCCCCAGAACCCTGGGATTTTCTTTTGACCAAATTTCTTCTCTAGATGTGCATTATCCACCTTGAAAACCCTAGACTCTCTCACTTTGTGGAACACTAGGAACTTAATAGACGTTCAACACCTATTTTTATTCATAGAGGAAGGGATGAATGAATAAGCCCTGTCTTGCTGAGCCTGGGTAAAATCCTGTTGGCCTCTCTCCTTCTCCACAGGTTCTACTTCCCAAGATGAATTTGGATTGTAAATCCTGCAATAACTAGGAGTTGCCCTCCACACAAAGGCTGCTGATGATAAGGAAGTTCTCACCTCCTGTGTTGGGAACAATAGCTGTGCAGAGGACTGGCTCACAAGAGGACTATTTGTAATCTCTTTCAAAGAATAGATAAGAGTCCAGAATGATGGATATCATAAGAATAGACTAGTAAACAACACAAATTATCTTTTTTCCTCTCAGCGGCTGGTATTTCTGCAATACAAAAAGTTTTTCTAGTATGACATAAATTGATCTACAAGCACCTTGTGTTTCATGGCTTTGGATGGCCACAGTGCTAGCTAATCATATTATAGCTAGTGGTCCTTGAACTGGGAGCACCAGCATGACCTGAGAGATTGTCAGAAATGCAGAGTCTCTGGGCTCCTTTCCAAGTCTACTGGATCAGAATCTGCATTCCAGCAAGATCTCCAGGTGATTCATATGCACATCTAAGTTTGCAAAGTGCTGGCCTAGAATTCATTTGCTTGGAGCTCTGTGAATGAGTAGATGTATTTTATAGATTTTTAGTTCTGAATGGCATAGTATATTGGGTATCTACCATATAACATTCATTGTGCCAGCGGCAGGGAATAGAAAGCTCAATAAAAGGTGGCATGTGCCTTGAAATCATGGTCTAGCTGGAGTGACCGACCCAGAAAGAGATCATTTAATTTCATGTAGTGGTGCTAAGGTGAAGATATACAGAGAGTGGCGTGGGGATATAGAGAAAGACTCAGTCCAGACTGGGAACCCAGAGAGGGTTTCTTCAAGGATGTTCCTTTGATCTCAATGAAAATGACTAGATAAAATTTATCCAGGAAAAAATAAGATAGGCAACCCAGAATGAAGGAAGAGCCTCTCCTGGCCTCCTGGCTCTTCATTCCTAAGTAGATTTTTGTTTAAACCATAAGCCCTGTTGCGTTCATGGGGAAGAGGGAGTGACTGTACCGATTCTATATTGCTGAAATGGAGTCAAGGAGTGACAGGAGAGGAGGATAGAGAGCTTAGCCCAAGCCAGCCGCAGAGGGCCTTGTGCACCATGCTGAAGAGTTTAGATTTTATTTTGGAGGTACTGGGCTGCCCCTGAGGACAGAGAAGAGACGTGGTTAGACATTTATTGTGGCTCACACTGGCTGCTGAAAGAAGAGGGAACTGGAGGGAAGAAAAACTAGTCACAGGGTAACCAGTTATCTGGGCAAGAATGGATAGTGGTGCTCAGGATGGAAATTAGTTGACATATGAGGAAAATACTTAAAAGATAAAATTAGCATATGATCATCGATGGGTTTGGACAGAAGATAAGGGAGAGGAGAAGACTGGGTGTCTAGACCAGTGGTTCTCAAACTTGAGTGTGTATCAGAATCCCCTGGAGGGCTTATTAAAATATACATTTTTAGGCCTCACCCCAGAGTTTCTGATTTAGTAATTTGCTAGAATCACTTGAGGAGATTTTTAAACTACTAATGCCTGCATCTCACCCCTGGGATCCTGACAGAAGTGCTGTGGAATGCAGACTGGACACAGCATTTTTAAAGCTCCCGGTGACTCCAGTGCTAAGCACAACTTAATTATATTTGGAATACAGGCAAAGGAGCCATTTTGGCATTAAATTTGTTAAAATTATTTTTACATATTCCTACAAATACCTCATTATGTGTGCCCTGATATGTGTGTAAATATACAGTCAATCTCTCTGGAAGATCAATATAGCATATAATGACTACTATCTAAAAGGACAAATACTAAAAAGATAAAATAGATACTACTTCCACACCTAAGGCAAGAGGAAGGGGGGAAAGAAAAAAAACACATCTACTGAGTTCTTACTATGTGCCAGATAGTATAGTAAGTACTTTATGTACATTATCTCATCTAATGCTGACAACAAAAGCAAGAGTAAGATATCCTTATCTCCATTCCTTTCATGAGGGATCCTGAACTCAGAGAGAGATGGTCATACAATCCAAGGTAAAGAGGGATTTAGGTGTGGATTTGCCTGGTTCTTCCAAAGACTATTTGCATGCATTCTCGTTGGAAGAGAAACTGGCTATGCAGTACAGAGAAAAATAGCCAGGATTAGGCATCAGGTGCTTGAATCCCAACCCTACCTCTACCCCTAAATAGCTGTGCCACTTTGAATGAATCTCCATTTCTCTGGGCCTTGACTTCCTCATCATCAAAATGGGGATACAATTTTTACCAACCTCATCGGATTAAATAATACCTAGCACAATACCTGACATATGGAAGGTACTTAAATAACATTAACTCTTATTATCTACTTCCTCTTCATCCTCATTTTCAGTAAAATGAGGGAACTGGGCTAGTCGTCCTTAAAATTCCCTCATATTATGAATGCTGTGATTAAGAATTTACTACTTTCTTTGGTGTCTACAGCTACTTTCTGATACTCTTCAATTAGTGACTTAATCTTAAGAACTGGTCTTTGTTTAAAATCAGCCCCTCTTCCTATAACCCTCTATTTTACCACTTCATCCCCTCCCCTGGGTTGTGTGGCTGTTTCCTGGCCATCCATTGCTGCCACAGAGCTATGTCAGTGTTTTGGTGACTCTCGCAGGAGCTCCATCACGTCTCTTGTGCAGTGTTGCTGTGTTCAGCAATCTCTGCAGTGCCTGCGTGGGCGTCCTTATGCCAGGTCAGCAGGAATTCCATTCCGTGAACACATTTGCAGTGATAAATGGACCACATTCTGCAGCCTGAGGCTAATGATATTATCTGTTATCTGATGTCCCGTAGGCTTAAAGATGTGTCCAAGATGCAATTTGGAATTATGGAAAGAGTAAAACTTGTTCTACCACATGCTGGTTATGTGATGCTGGACTTGTGGTTTAACTTTTTGGAACCTCCATTTTTCTCATCTGTGAAATTGGTTTTGTGCGATTTGGCACATTAAGGTGCTTTATATAGTGTCTGGCTCACAGCAGCTCCTCGGCAGAAGTTGGGAACCATCCCTAATGACTCCATTGGAAAGCTGGCAATAGCCTTCAGGGTAGGCTAAGGAACAGGGTCGTGTAGAATTTTGGAGAGGGCTAATCATGGCGTTTTAAACCTTTTACAGTAGACTTGCGGTCACAGTGACACTTCTGTTGCTGTGTAAGTAGCAGATTTCAGCACTAGTTTTCACTTCAGCATTCCTATTGGAAACATTTCTAAGGTTCTCCTCCACACCAACTGGGATCTGACTCCCGGCACCTTCAAACTCATAGTAATTGCATAGCAACGGGCTGATCGCATGGTGGAGCAGGATCCATGGCAGTCCTTTTGCATATGCCTTCTATAATGCAGCAGGCTGGTTCAGCCCCCTACGAACACTGGAGTGACTGTCCCCATGGCTTCTGCCAATGTTAGCAACCTGCCTGGGCAGAAGACTTAACAGCTGCCTGAAAACATGTCCTGACATCAGCATTTAGGTTTCTTGTTTCATCACTCACTCTTAAAGTTAGAATAACCTTTGATTAAGCAGGGTTTTAGCATGCAACACTGTTTTACCCCAATACCAGTAGGGGATGGATACAACTAACATAGACTCCAACTTGCTTGACCTCTACCAGAAACCAGCTCAAGCTAATGTCCCCACAATGTTGTGGCTGTTTTCTAGACAAGTGTTTCTCAAAGTGGGGTTCAGGGACCACCTCCATCAGAATTTCCTCAGCCTTGTTAAAATGCATGTTCCCGGCCAGGTGCAGTGGCTCATGCCTCTAATCCGAGCACTTTGGGAGGCCGAGGCAGGTGGATCACAAGGTCAGGAGATCGAGACCAGCCTGGCCAACACGGTGAAACCCTGTCTCTACTAAAAGTACAAAAATTAGCCAGGTGAGGTGGTGTGTACCTGTAGTCCCAGCTACTCAGGAGGCTGAGGCAGGAGAATCACTTGAACCCAGGAGGCAGAGATTGCAGTAAGCCGAGATTGCACCACTGCACAGGTGCCTTCAGACTGACTAAATTAGAATATCTAGATATGAACACAGAAGCTGCATTTTAACACACTCTTTAGATAATTCTTATGTGTATTATATTTCTTTAATCTGTGTTGCTATAAAAATATTACTTGCTCAAACATGTTTTAAACTCCAATACTAAAAAGTTCATAATGAAAGATAGCCACTACCTTTCTTCTCCTGCCCACCTCTACTTTCCAGAAGTTACCACATGCTAAGTTCTGAATATTCATGTCCCCCAAAATTCATGCCTTGAAACTGTAACCCGCAAGGTGATGGTATTAGAAACTGAGACCATGTGGGGGAGGGGGTGGTAATTAGATCTGTCTTCATGAATGGGACTAGTGCCCTTATAAAAGAGGCCTGAGGGAATTTGTCTCTTCTACCATACAAGGATATAGACAGAAGGCACCATCTATGAGAAAGCAGGCTCCCACCAGATACCCAAGCTGTTGACATGTTGATCTTGGACTTTCCTGCCTCTACAACTGCAAGAAATAAATTTCCCTGTTCATATGCTTCCCAGTCTATGGTATTTTGTTACGGCAGGCCAAATGGACTAAAACAACGTATTATACATTTATGAGTTTCTTCAATTTTTACCTTCCTATTTCTAAATAACATGCCAATACTGCAATTTTGTATCATATTTTAGACATTATCTGCTGACTTTCTATTAGGATTAATATTTAGCAATTTACCTAGCATAATTATCCATTCTCACCTTCTTGATATAGTCCCTTAAGTTTTTGTTAAGAGTTAGGGTTGCTATTTTGTAACTATATACATATTGTCTGATATTGATCCAAGAAGGGACTGTGAATATGTTCACTTTCTCATTGAACTTCTGTTTTATCTTAGAGTTTCAGCTCTATCCAACAACTGTCAATTTTAATTTCTAAATACTTTAAGGTATCAAATACTTAGCATTTTATTTCCCTTGCCCTTGAAGACTTCACTCCCAGAGTTCCCCATTCTCCTCTGCATGAACTTTTAATTCTGGTTTCCTTATTAGTTCGCTATTTCCTCGTCTCATGTTTTGCTTTTTCTTAGTTTATTTACTTACTTTAAGTACATTCTCCAGTAACTTCCTTAAAAAACAGTGCATTGCATGGCAAGGATAGTTTTTCAGTACTTACCTGCCCCAAAATATCTTTATTCTGCCCTCACACTTGGTTGAGAGTTTATACGTGATTGACGAGTGTTCCCCCAAAATTTACATCCACCAAGAACCTCAGAATGTGACCTTATTTGGAAATAGGATCTCCACAGATGTAATTAGTTAAGGTAAGATAAGGTCATACTGAATTAGGGTGGGCTCTAAATCCTATGACTGGTGTCCGCATAAGAAGGCCTTATAAAGACTCAGAGACACAGACAGAGGAAAGAGGGCCATGTGAAGGCAGAGGCGGAGACTGGAGTGATACATCTACAGGCCAAGGAACAACACTGAGGATTGCTGACAACTACCAGAAGCCTGGAGAGAAACATGGAACAGATTCTCCCTCATAGCCTCTAAAAAAAACATCAACTCTGCTGACACCTTGATTTTGGACTTCTGGCCTCCATAACTGTGAGAGAGTAAATTTCTGTTGTTTTAAGCTACCCAGTTTGTGGTGCTTTGTTGTAGAAGCCACAGGAAACTAATACATGATTTATCTGGGATAAAATTCTGTGTTGAGGCCAGTCACGGTGACCTATACCTGTAATCCCAGCACTTTGGGAGGCCAAGGCAGGCAGATCATTTGAGGCCAGGAGTTTGAGACCAGCTGCCCAACATGGCAAAACCTGTCTTTACTAAAAATATAAAAGTTAGCTGAGTGTGGTGGTGCACACCTATAATCCCAGCTACTCGGGAGGCTGAGGCAGGAGAATCGCTTGAAATGGAGAGGTGGAGGTTGCAGTGAGCTGAGATTATGCCACTGCACTCTAGCCTGGGTGACAGAGTGAGACTCCATCTCAAAACAAACAAAAAAGTATATGTTGAGCATCAGCTGCCTCCAAATTATTGACCGCACTGCTCTATGTCATTATAGTTTCCAATGTTGGTTTAAGAAGTCTAATGCCACTTTAATTTCCATTTCTTTGTATGTGAAGTGTCCCCCACCACAAACTTTCAGTATCATGTATTTATCTCTGGTGTCCTAAAATTTATTCACCAAATTTAGTTCAATAAGTGAACTAATATTCATTAGGATCTATCTTAGTGTGGTTCCTTTGTTTTCATTAATTGACATGGGCACATGGAGAACTTTTTCAATCTGGCAAGTCAAGTCCTTTGGTCCTGAAATTTTTTTTACATTATTTCTTTGACAATTTCCTCTTCTTTATTGGTTGAAAATTCAATATCCCAGATTGACCTCCCCAAATTTCTTATCCTCTATTTCCTATTCTCTACTTTTCTCTTTTTTGTTTTTCCACTTTCTTAGTGATTTCCTTGGCTCTCTCTGTATTTTCTGTTTATCCAGTTTGCTTATTCTGTTGGTTTGTATCTTTCTCATATTGAAAACTTTCCTCAAATGTGTATGAACCCAGGCTGTTTTCGTTTAACAGTGTGACAGCAAATAACTGATTAGAAACTCTGTGTACAGGAGGAGCTTGTCAACCAACTCTGAAGAGAGAAGGAGAACCTAAGAACCCAACCATTTTGCATGAAAGATTTCAATCAATCCCTCTATACTCAGATTCACACTTAACTCACATCTTTTGCTGTACTCCCCGTTTTAAATCCTGAGATTTTCCAGGGTTCTAAAGGAAGAATCAGATTGGTTTCTGTATCTCTTTCTGACACACACAGTTTATAGGTTTCTCCACTCTGCTGGGAAAGAAAGTCACCACTCTCAGATTTCTCTCTTTGAAAAATTTGTGTTAATCCTTGTTTGTGGCTCTATGTTCTCTCATTCTCTTTGTCCTTGTCTTAGTCCATTTGTGTTGCTAAAAAGTAATACCTGAGGCTGGGTCATTTATAAAGGAAAAATGTTTATTTGGCTCACAGTTCTGATGGCTAGAAAGTTCAAGATTGGGCATCTGCATTGGTGAGGGCCTCATGCTGCTACCACTCATGGTAGAAGGTCAGGGGAGCCAGTGTGTGCAGAGATTACCAGTGAGGGAGGAAGCAAAAGAGAAAAGGGGCCAGGCGTGGTGGCTTACGCCTATAATCCCAGCACTTTGGGAGGCTGAGGTGGGAGGATCACTTGGGGTCAGGAGTTCAAGACCAGTCTGGCCAACATGGTGAAACCCTGTCTCTACTAAAAATACAAAAATTTGCCGGGCATGGTGGTGGACACCTGTAATCCCAGCTACTCCGGAGGCTGAGGCAGGAGAATCACTTGAGTGCAGGAGGCAGAGGTTGCAGTGAGCTGAGACCATGCCACGGCACTCCAGCCTGGGCAACAGAGACTCCATCTAAGAAAAAAAAAAAAAAAGAAGAAAGAAAAGGGAAAGGTGCCAGGCTTTTTATATAACCAGCTCTCACAGGAAGTAATAGAGTAAGAACTCCTCCCCACAGCCCCCTTCAGATAAGGCATTATTCTATTCATGAGCAATCCACCCTTAGGACCCAAACACCTCTCACTAGGCCCCACCTCCAACATTGGGGATCAAATTTCAACATGAGGCTTGGAGGAGACAAACACCCAAACCTTAGCAGTCCTTGTACATTAAAATTCTTTTTCTTTTTGGTATTTAAAGGGATTCCAAGAAGAGATAGATGTGTGTGGTCATCCACCTTGTTGAGCAAAAAGCTTCCTTTATTTTCTGATGTACAATACACAGGAAATATTTCTATTATAATGTGTTGTTTAGTGAAATACTTGAAGTAAAACAAAAACACTGGCATTGGAATTTGGAAGATGTGGATAGATGTCATTTCTGTCACTACACACTTAATATATCTGAAACTCAGCTTCATTGTCTTTATATTTTAAATGTACTTATTTTTTAAATTAAAATTTTGTACATTAATGGTGTACAACATAATTTTTTGAAATATGTGTACATTGTAGAATGGCTAAATCAAACTAATTAACAGGTGCACCTCATATAGTTGGTGTTTTTTAATAGTAAAAATGCTTTAAAATCTACTTTCAGCAATTTTCAAGTTTATAATATATTGTTATTAACTATAGTCATCATGATGTGCAACAGGTCTATTGATCTTATTCCCCTAACCGAAATTTTGAACACTTTGACCAACATCTCCCTAATCCCTCTCTACCCCCTAGCCTCTAGTAGCCATCATTTTACTCTGTTTCTGTAAGTTCAACTTCTTTAGATTCCGCATATAAGAGAAATAATGTGGTGTTTGTCTTTCTGCATCTGACTTATTTTGCTTACATAATGTCCTCCAGGTTCATTGATGTTGTCACAAATGACAGGATTCTTTTCTAAGACTGAATAGTATTCCATTGTGTATATATACATTTTTCTTAATCCAGTCATCCATTGATGGGCATTTCATGATTGGCTATTGTGAATAATGCTGCAATGAACATTGGAGTGCAGACATCTCTTCAACATACTGGTTTCATATCCTTTGGATAAACACCCAGAAGTGGGATTGCTGGATTTTTAATTTTTTTGAAGAACCTTCATATTATTTCTGTAATAGCTGTACCTTTGTCTTTAAAAAGAGATAGAAATACCCACCCATGCATAGTCCATGCTAGTGCATGGTGGTTCATGTTTTCCATTTTGAGTGTTACTTAGAGTTAACTGGACCACACATAGGAAGAAAATCACAAATAGCATAGGCTTAATCCCTGCAATCCCTGTAGAACCTCAGTGTTTTGCCCCATAGTATGGAATGAAAGATGGATGATAGGGAGTGATCATTCAACTAACTCAACTGACTAATTCAGTTTCAGAAACTTCCTGGTAGGGAATCTTCCTCAAAGATAACTTACAAATTGTTTCATTGCAAACGAAAGGGGGAAAAGTCAATAAAAATTGCAAACATTCTCTTTCATTAGGCAAAGTGTGACTTTTCCACAAGAACAGGGCTGATTGGAAATGAGTCTTTCACATAGTTTCCAAAGACAGTTTATCTTTTTGAAATTTAACTGTAAGATCCCCCAGGAATAAGAAAACATTAACTCACAGCCGGAATTCAGGATAGTAATAAATTATTCATGGCTCAAGAAAAGAGTTCTCACACAATGTGTTGAATAATTGTATTTGAAATATTAACAAATGTCCTCAAGTTCCCACATGTGTATCCAAACTGATTTCCTTTAAGTTTAGGTACTGCTCAATGAAATGTCATTTTCCCAATAGTCCAGAAACTCATATTCCTGAAAAGTAGAATTTTTGTGAAAGGCACACTTGGGAATATTTTTATTACTTCTTGCTGCTAAAGATGAACTTATAAAAATCATATTTTTCTTTATAAAAGTAATGTGTATCCATTATAGAAAACTTCAGGGCCAGGCATGGTGGCTCATGCCTGTAATCCCAGCACTTTGGGAGGCTGAGGTGGGAGGAACACGAGGTCAAGAGATTGAAAACATCTGGCCAACATGGTGAAACCCCGTCTCTACTAGAAATACAAAAATCAGCTGGGCGTGGTGACACGTGCCTGTAATCCCAGCTACTTGGGAGGCTGAGAATCACTTAAACCTGGGAGGCAGAGGTTGCAGGGAGACGAGATCACACCATTGCACTCCAGCCTGTGTGACAAGAGCAAAACGCCATCTCAAAAAAAAAAAAAATTCAATATATACAATTGACATTAAAATCTACCATGTATTTTACAGTTACAAATTTTCTAATCTTGGGCACTCAATTTTCATCAAAAATACTTATCTGTATTTCAGTTTCATAAAATTTAAAGTTAAAAAAAGCAGATTGAAATACTCAAGTTGTTTCAAATACCCTTAAAGATTTTTTAATAGCTAAATTGGTCATAAGGTTTTTACAATTTTAAATTAATTAAAATTTAGTTAAGTTAAAACTCCAGTTCCACTTTCTGACTAGCCACATTTTAAGTGCTCAAGAGCCACATGTGGTTAGTGGCTACTGCATTAGACAGCACAGATATAGATGGATAGCTATATAGAAAAATAGACACAGAGATAGGGATGTGGCTATGGATATGTCACATATAAGCATATCCTCATATCAATAACTATTATTCCAACACAAGATTTTCAGTGATTGTGGACTGTATCATCTCTTCATTCCTTTTATGGGTATATATGGCATAATTTATCTATTTATTCTCAATGATTTTGAACATTACTGTTTTTTCCATTTTGTTGTACAAATTTATACTATATTTATGATCATTTTCTTAGGATAGATTCTTAGAAATGGTATTACTAAGTATTATTAAGTATATTAGACAGGGTTCTCTAAAGAAACAGAACCACTAGGATTTTATATATATATATATATATATATATACACACACACACACACACACAATGTATATACATATAGGTATATATACATATATACATATGAAATATATACATATAGGTATATATACATATATACATATTATGAAATATATACACATATGTATATATACATATATACATATGTGTATATACACATATGTGTATATACATATATACATATGTGTATATACACATATGTGTATATACATATATACATATGTGTATATACACATATGTGTATATACATATATACATATGTGTATATACACATATGTGTATATACATATATACATATGTGTATATACACATATGTATATGTGTATGTACATATGTATATATGTATACATATATGTATATATACATATATGTATATGTACGTATATATACATACATATACATATATATGTACATATATGTGTGTGTGTATATATATATCTAGAGAAACAGAACCACTAGGATGATATATATATGCCAGAAATCCAAACTCTGCAGGGTAGGCTAGCAAGCTGGAGACCAAGGGAAGAGTGTATGCCTTAGTTTAAGCCCAGAGGTAGTCTGTTGGCAGAATTCCCTCTTCTTCAGGGAGGCCAGTTTTTCTTTTTTCTTTTCTTTCTTTTTTCTTTTTTCTTTTCTTTCTCTTTCTTTCTCTTTCTCTTTCTGTTTTTCTTTCTTTCTTTTCTTTTTTTTTGAGACAGAGTCTCGCATTGTCGCCCAGGCTGGAGAGCAGTGGCGCGATCTCGGCTCACTGCAAGCTCCGCCTCCTGGGTTCACGCCATTCTCCTGCCTCAGCCTCCTGAGTAGCTGGGACTACAGGCGCCCGCCACCACGCCCAGCTAATTTTTTGTATTTTTTTTTTTTAGTAGAGACGAGGTCTCACCGTGTTAGGCAGGATGGTCTTGATCTCCTGACCTCGTGATCCGCCCGCCTCGGCCTCCCAAAGTGCTGAGATTACAGGCGTGAGCCACTACGCCCGGCTTCTTTCTATTGTTAAGGCTTTTAACTGATTGAATGAGGTTCAGCCACTTCATGAAGAGTAATCTACTTTACTCAAAGTCTATCAATTTAAATGTCAATTGCATCTAAAAAACATCTTCACAGAAACATCTAGAATGTTTCACCAAATATCTGGTTACCACGGGTTACCAAGTTAACACATAAAATGAACCATCACAGTAAGTTTTGATCTTGATCAATACCATATCATTGTGATTGTTTACATTCTCATCTGCAGTGTACGAGCTAACTCATCATATTACACTCTAGCAAGTAATCAATATTATTTTTTTTCTATCTTTGCCAATTTTACATGCAAATAAATTTCATAATTTTAATGTACGTACTTTTGATTACTATCAGGTTGAACCCTCACGTATTTATTGATCATTTGTACTCCCTATTCTACTGTCTATTCATTATTTTTTGTCTATCATTTCTACACAAAAGCTATGAAGTAAATCACAAAGGAAAAATGTTTATTGTATTCAATTACACAAAATTTAAGAAAATTTGTATAGATTTTAATCTGTGTCTTGATGGGTGTGTGTAATAGAGGCTATTTGAGCAAAGGTGGTAGATTTAGTGTTGATATATTAAAATATGTTAAATTCTCTACTGTTCAATAAAATTTTGAGAGGTAATAACTTTTCTTGCAGAAAAGGTATTCAAGCCAAGACTGGGTGACTAATGTCAGGGATTCTCCAGGTGGATTTCTAAATTAAGAATGCCCTAAAATACTTACACATTTTAGCTCCACTAAAATGTGGAGCTACTCTTATAATGTCCCTTCTTCCAACACTTCTTCCTGTGGAAAGATCCATGTGTATAGCTGTGGTTATTTACCAAAATATCCTCTTAACATGATCCTGCATAACCCAAACTTCAAGGATTTTTTTTTTCAACATACTGTTGAATTTGGACCAGCTTCCAAGAAGAACCAACACTGAATTCCCTTTCTCAAGAAAATTACGCAGAAGCAAAGGGAAGAATGTCTGGCAAAAACAATCTCAGAGGGACAAAGATTGGTGGTGAGGGAGAGTTGGAGCCTCTGCATGTGATAACCTTCCACTCTATGGCCAGTGTACACCAAGTTGTCACAGATGGCAGATCTCAAAGGAAAAGCTTCCAAGACTTCAACTTTTGAATGGCTGCTCTGACTTCTTATGATGTGAGCATTGCAGGGAATCATTCCAATTCTGGACAATTAATAAAACCATAAAAAGTTTCTAAAATTCAATAATAAATCACTAATAGATAAATAGATAAAATGTAACAGAAGATGAGCAGTATCATGCTTAATGATAAAATGCTAGAATTAATTCAATAAGTACTCATTGAGCATTAACCATGTTAGCCCTTTACTAAGTACTAGATATACCATTGTGAGCAAAATATGATGAGTTCTTAGATTTCATGAAGTTTACAGATGAATGGAGGAGACAGTCATTAGTCACATCACTATGCAAATAAGCCTGAAATTACAACTGTAATGAGTACAATGACGTAAGGGTACATGATATGCTAAGAGAATGTAGTAGGGAGACCTGGACTGGTCCAGGCCATCAGAATTGTTTGTCCTAGAAGAGGAGGTGAACTAAGATCTGAAGAATAAGTAACAGTTAGTAGGGGAAGTTAAGGAGTTGAATTGAAGAGAAAGAAGTATATAAGAAGACAAGCAATATGGCACATTATCAGAAATAGATTTGATGCTGGTTAACACCGCTATTATCAAACTTCATTCAAGAAATACCAACAAGTATAATGAGACAATAAAACAAAATGGGAAAAAGAGGCAAAATTGTTATTTTTAGATAATGTGATTATCAACTTGGAAAACTGAGGAATATGTAATGAAATTCTAATTATAATTGAAAAGGCTACTCAGTAGGATTGGTTATATAGACGTACAAAAATCTATAACCTTTTATATAGCAATGATGAAGGAACAGTATTTACAAGAACAATAGTGTAAAATGCCCAGGAATAAACATAACAGGAAATGTAGAGAAACTATAAAATTCTACTGAGCAATATGAAAGAAACCAAAAATAGATAAATTCCATATTCTTAAAAAGCAGAATATTTAAACATGAATTTCTTCCCAAAGTGTTATATAATTTAACATGTTGGGGAAACTGGGCAAACTATTATACATTTTATCTGAAAGAATTGTAAAAAACTAATATTGGGTGATTTGCTTTATCACACATTAAAACATACCATGAAACCATAATATTTTTTAAGTGGGTGCAAAAATAAGCATGCAAATCACTGAAATGGTACGAAGTTCCAGAAACAGACCCAAATAAATAATTTTATTATACTCATATTTTAATAGCTTGATTGATTCTGTTGTTTGGATGTATGGTACCATTATGAAACCTGCAGAGTTTGGATTGCTAGCCTCCACAATCACATGAGCCAATTGTTTATATTCCTTAAAATAATGATAACTAACTCCTGATCATTGATTGGTTATATACAAGGTAACCACTGTTATCCCGGTGTGCCTGAAACAGGCTTGGTTTATGTTTCTTGTCTTGGCATAATTATTAATAGAGCCTCTTTTTACTCCCAAAAGTATTCCCTTTTGAATGATACATTATATGGTTACCCAATTTATGTAATTATTTTTATTTTTCCTTAATATAAACAGTACAGCAATAAATATACTTGCAGCTAAGTCTTTACATAGAATTTTTATATGACTGGATCAAAGTTTGTGTACATTTAAATTTTTTGATATATATTACCTTGCCTTCCAGAGAAATTGTTAACACTCCCACCAGTAATTACAAAGAGAGTCATTTTTCCAAAACCTGAAAAAACCGGATAGTACTATTCATTTTTAAGAATCCTTTCTAGTTTTGTAAGTGAAATTGTGTCTTACTGCCTTAATATGTATTTAGTTCATTATTGTTTTAAGTGAACATTTGTACAGATCAATGTTCTTTCATTACGAGCAACAGAAAACAATTCTGGGTGGGTTAAATCAAGGGAAATGCAGGGAAAGGACATCAGAGGCTCACGGAATTAATGAGAGGCTGGAGATTTTCCAGGTTTAGGAATGGGCAGGACAGGCATTTCTGGAGTTGAGGAAACAGGCACTTCAGCATTGGACTCAATATAGAAGAGCATCCTTGGGCTGGGTCTGCTCAGGACATAGTCACAAGAACGGGATGAAACCCAACATTTTTGGTCTCTTTATTTCATTCTCAATATTCAAGTTCCAGTTGACTTAGCTTGGGCCACATGTCTGCCCTTAGACTAAGAATGCACAGTGCCCGGATTACAATCCCACTGAACCATAAGCCAGAGAGACAGTGGTAATTTCTCCAGGGAAATCAGTCTTGTCAGGAAGGGGAAATGGATCGTGAGCCATCAACCCAACAAATGACCATGAGTTTTTTCCTCTATTGGCTATTCATTTCTCCTTCTGCAAATCATTTATTTATGTCCTTTGCACATTTTTATCCTGCAGTGTTCATCTTTCTTATGCTGACTTATAAGAGATCTGCAAGTATATTTTGAAGCTAAGATCATAGGGCTTTGCAGAAGCCACCTAAAGGTGTCTTCATTTTGTTATTTGGCAAAAGTTAAAGCCCTCCCCACCCCTTGCAAGTTTTGTTGTTGTTAGTTGGTTGGTTGGTTTGTGACCTACAATTAAAATAAGCTGTGACAGTTATAGAGCTGGTGCTTTTTCTTTTCTGTCACTGTAGTAGTTGTAACTGTGACACTAGCTGCTGTAACATATAAATCTCAAAAATCACAGGATTAAGTGATGATTTCAAAACATGCTCCCCAAATTCTTTAACATTCTTCCTATTGAAAACTGGCACCTACATCTTAATACCTTGAATCTGGGCTCTCTGCTTGATAAATAAGTTATGGCAGTGGTGAAATTGTGTCAGTTTCTGGGCCCAAACTTTGAAAAAGTGTTAGCTTCTACTTTCTGTCTCTTGGGACATTTGCTCTTGGAACTCAGTCTCTATGCCATTAGGAAGTCAAGCAGCCTGTGAAGAGGCCAGAATGGAGTGGAACTGCGGACCTCCAGCCCTCAGGTCAGGTCCCAGCTGACTCCCAGCACTTACTTGCCCACCATCTGAGACACCACCTTGAAAGTCAGCCCTCCAGCCCCCAGCAGATCTACAACAGAGGATGCTATGTGGAGCAGAGGGAAACTACCCCTACAGAGCCCTGTCCAAATTAAAGTTCTGTGAGTAAAATCCATGATTGTTGCTATTTTAAGCCTCTAACTTTTGGGGTGGTTTGTTGCATTGTGATAGATAACAGATACAGAGTAAAAAATTGAAGTTTATTTCTCATTCATAGTCCAGTGCTGACATTTTGGTGAGTAAGCGAGCTTTTACATGGTAACTTAGAGGCTTCCAGGAGGCATGCTTCTTCCATTTTCTGATGCTGTGCTTCCCTTATGGATGCAGCTAGTCTATGAAGAAGAGCAAGTGAAAAAGTATGTGAAGAAGTAAAATTTGCTTCTTAAGCTCTTTGGTCTGGAAATAATGCCTTGCCTTCACTTGCATTCCTATCGGCCAAAATATCATATGCCCACATTCAGACAGAAAGGAATCTGGGAACTGTGGTTTCTAGCTTCCCAGTAAACATTCACACTATGGCAGGTGGAGCACAAATCTTTGGTGGAGCAGCCAGCTGTTGGACACACTCACTTAGCAAAAAAATTTAATGCTATTCTTCTTTGGACAGCAAAAAAATAAGAGAACCAATTGTTTCTGTTAGAAAAATCTCATTGTTCACCTTGTGTATTAGTCTCCTCCGGTAGTTTATTTCTCAACAAAATATATGAAAACATAGAAGCCCAGTTGTGACTCTTTGTTTTTAAAATACATAGTAAAGTCTATATCTTTCTAGGGTAAGAATTTGCTTATGGGAAATTTTAACTTGTTTCCCAAAAAGGTATCAATCATGGGTAACTTAGAGGAAGATTTCTCGGGAAAAAAAAGCTGTTTTGGGTTGTATATTTCCCTGCGTGGCCGGGTACAAAGTAAGAGGCCTAGAGGAGTGATCTGGGGAACAGTCGTTTGGCCTTAGCCTTGCCACCATTGGCTGGGTGACCTTGCTTGCCCTCCTTGCACCTCCATTACTTCACAGGGAAAAGGAAGGAGTTAGATTGGATAATCTTGAAGCTTTTAAACTCTGAGCATAAATATGCTCAGAGCATAATATGACTCTGAGCGTAAATACTATTGAAAAAGCTTCAGTCCTGGAAAAATTGAAATGATACCATGATGTATACTTGTGATTGCTAATTAATGTTCTCTCCTATGAAATAATCCTCTCCTCAAAGAAGTTAGGGTGGGAATTGTAGATTTTTCCACCTTTGCGTAGTGTTCTCTTGGCCACAACAGCAACAGAAACTGACCTGAGCCTTAGCAATAATAAATGAAGAGACATGTCTTAGAATTCTGTCTCAGGAATAGATTATTATCCACAGCTTAGAACTTACGTGAGTTCCCAATTTCAGCAGGAAAACAATGAACCTGTATCTTTTCTTCCCTACCTCCTGAATTTAACTTGTGGGATCCACTGAAATGGTGAGTAGGGTATAGTGTGCATGCAGGAGGGAAGTTAAACAAGCAAATTCTGCATCTGTTCTCAAAATTGTAATTAAGAGGAGATAGTGCTCTGAGACTCTGCTCTCAGCAAAGTGCTGACCAGTTAAACCCCAAGCTTAAGTCATAGGAAATAAAGCTCTGTGCCTGGATGCATTTACTAACTATTCCATTTCTTGAGGAAAATTTTGATTTTATACATGGCCATAACTATTTTTTCTCCATCACTCCTGGAACTACTGTGTAGGAGACTTCTGGTTTTTGTCCCCAGAAACCACAGTTTCAGCAAATTGGAAGAATGCATATATAAATCTCTGCATGGCGTGTAAGTGTACATGCTCATGTGCCTGTATATGTTTAATTCTGCACCAGAGATCCCAGAGGATGGATGACTAATCACAGTAAGTCTGAACTTCTTCAGAGTTTTTGGGGATAAGAGTGGGAGGAAAATACCATATCTAATGTTTAATAACAACGGTCCAGCACAAGAAACCTTGGGATGGAAATAACATATAAGAAGGGGTGAGTTTTCTGAGATTCGGGGAAAAAATGCAAATTATTCCTTAAATGGGCTTCCCTGAAATAAAAACTGAAATGTTTGCACATATTTATTCAATAATCTTTCTTACAGTAAAATAACCAGTTGGAGCAATGTCAATTGCTATTGCTCCTGTAATAAAGTTCACTGAGGCTTTAAATTTATTAATTGCCCTTCTTAGTCTTATTGCAGTCTACTATTAGAGTATTAAAAGCTGCTAGAAACATGTAATTGCCATAAATGTTCTCAAGTGGATGAATCATACCCTTTTGAAAATCTGGACTTATTGTTTCTTTTTTAACAATAGAGATTGCTGCTTCTCCAGATGCCTAAAATGTGGCTTTCATTCAGACAGTTCAAATAACACAGTCTCTTCTGGCTGATCAAAAATTCTGAGTAGGGCTTCTTCAGAGTAGAACTTCCACTTCTTTCATGAAAACCTAAGATAAAATTTTAATAGAAAGTTTGTCTGATTTTTTTTTTTGAGATGGGTGTGGTCTTGCTCTGTTGTCCAGGCTTGAGTGCAGTGGTACAATCTCGGCTCACTGCAGCCTCCGCCTCCTGGGTTCAAGTGATTCTCCTGCCTCAGCCTCCCGAGTAGCTGGGATTACAGGGGCATGCCACCACACTCGGCTAATTTTTGCATTTTTAGTAGAGACAGGGTTTCGCCATGTTGCCCAGGCTGGTCTCGAACTCCTGACCTCAGGTGATCCACCCGTTTCAGCCTCCCAAAGTGCTGGGATTACAGGTGTGAGCCACTGCACTTGGCTTTTTTTTTTTCTATGTGCCTACCACAAGTTTCCCTCCAAATTCAACATTCCTCTTTTCATACTTCTTGAAAAACTGCAAAGTTAGTGTGGACAGGGATTGGAGGATCCAGCTTTCCAATACAATCGGTTAAGCTTCCTAAAACACATACTACAACCACTGACCTATGTTTCCTTAAATAAGGCTTAAAGGCAAATAATGTGCTTGCAGATTGAGAGATTATACTTCCTACTTGTTTAACATTTAATTTTGAATCCTGAAACTTCATTATTATTAACGTGAAACTGTAGCCTTATAAAATTTAATATTTGTGGTCACTTTATAGAAATCTGCCTTAGCTTAAACTCATAAATAATTGGAAAGTGATAAGGAACTGCAAATGAAGTTTGCCTCCAAGGAGTATCATGTATTTTACCAAGGAATTTCCTCACAAACTCTTGAGAACCTCAGAATCATGTCATAAAATCAAAATAGAATAAAATTATTGATACTTTGCATTATGGTAAGTGAAATAAGCCAAACGGCGACAGACAAATGCTGTATAGTATAATTTATGTGTGGAATCTAATGAAATAAAAAGTCAGACTCATAGAAACAGAGGAGAATGGTGATTGCCAGGGATTGAGGGGAGTGGCACAGTTAGGAAATATTGGTCAGGGGATACAAATTTTCAGTGAGAAGATGAATACATTCTGAGTATCCAATGCACAGCATGGTGACAGTTAGTAATACTAATACTGCATACTTGAAATTTGCTGACAGTAGACTTTAAGCATTCTCTCACAAACACAAAAAAGTTAACCATATGTGGTGATGGATGTGTTAATTAACTTGATTGTGGCAATCATTTCACAACATATATGTATATCAAATCATCACACTGTACGCTTCAAATATATATAATTTTATTTGTCAATATACCTCAATAGAGCTGGAACAAAACGCAAAAGCATTTAAAAGGCAAAATTTTAAAAGAGGGAAATAAAATGAGGTCATCAGGGTGAGCCCAATCCAATACGACTGGTGTCCTATAGACACAGACAGGTATAGAGGGAAGACCACGTGAATACACAGAGAGAAGGCGGCCATCTACAAGCCAAGGGGAGCGGGCTCAGAAGAAACCAACCCAGCAGACATCTAGATCTTACATTGCCAACCCCCACAACCATGGGAATCAATTCCTTAAAACAAATTTCTGCTGTTTAAGCCATCCCCAACCCTCAGAACAAACCTTTGGAAAATGCAATATGATAGATCAATCCACATCTTTGTGAAAGGAAAATACGTACAATTAAGGCACTCAGATTATGAATTTAAGCCTTTCTCATAGCTTTTCTCTAATTTCCAATTTGGAGAGATTTGGTCATCTGGGTTAGGCACCCAGTCAGCATATTGAATTATTGTAGATGTATCCAAGATAAACAATTCTTGTCAGATAAAGGAAAATCACATTGTAAGCCAGGTTTTAATATGGTGCTTTTTCAATAATTCTCAACTAAACTCGTCAGCAGCTAGTGTTAAGGAACCCCAGTGAGGCCCGTGCTGCACAAAGCACATGACACAGCCTCTTTGAACGACACAAGGGACTTTTTCCATACGATATTCCCCAGATAGAGCAGTCAATGTTTCTAAAGAAACATTCATGCAGGCAGACAGGCATTGCCCCACTTCCACCATGAGCCCCAAAGGACTGGCAGGGACAAGGGAAACTGAGAGGAAGAACAATTTGGGCAAGCAGAGACTCAGAGAGAAAAGTGACAGAAGCCAGTATGGGAGCTTGCCTGCACACAGCCTCAAGAGGATTTTATATTCCGTTTGATTTGGGTAATGTGAGCCTCAGTTGGGTCCTAATATTCTTTGTTGTTGCTGTTCTACACTCCTGGGAGCTCCCACACTGACCCAGCGGGCAGACTTGCAGACTCGAAAGCTTTCTCCAGCAGATGTTTTCAGTCCGCCTCCACGCTCCTCCCCTCTTCACACTGGATTCCACATGCTAAAGGCTGCACTGCCTGATCCCAGGGCAAGACCCATTGCCAGAGAGTTTATCCTTCTGAGAGCATATCTCAGCCAATAACAAACAGGGATTTTGTTAACAGATAACTGAGCACGTCCTACACTTCTTCCCAGCATTCCCCAGTGGGACTGAGCTCTAGTTGTCCAGAGAGGCAACTTGTTCGATAACACACTCTTCACTGGCTGCCTTCCCTTTCCTGTCTCATTTCCCTACTCCTGTAGAAGCATTTTCTAGGATCGTCTCCCACATAAACTACTTGCACGTGAGCCCTTGTCTCAGGGTCTGCTTTTGGGTGGGACTGGGCGGGGGGCAAACTAGGACAATCTCCGTGACTAGCACAGAGTGGACAGTAAAATGATGTTTAATTGAATTGTGGAGACAAAGATATGGGAGATATTGCTGCAACCATTTTGGAAATACAATCTGCCACCCATACCTTGTATGGCAGATTGCTTCCTTGTTTTTACATTATCCCTGTATTCACTTCCTTGTTCATTGTCTGAGTTCAATCTTGGCTTCAACAATTAGTACTTGTTGAACAATTTCAACAATTATGCTTGGGCAGCTTCCTTGACATTTTATGGCTGTTTCCTCATCTGTAAAAGATACTTAATGCGTGGGGTTAACTAATTGTTGTTGTTATTATTCTTTCTCTGTCCTGTATGGCTGGCTTGGCCTTTCTTGGTTGTGATCCAGAAATTAAGGAAAGGCTTACAAACCTCTCCTTGAAGATGAGGTACTTGGGAGTGATAGCAGCATCTATGAGGAAAAGCTCCCACGAACAAAATAAATTTTGGGTTCAGTGGTCAGATCACAAGGTCCATCTGTCCTTCACTTTCCATTCTTGGAGGATTACTGTTTGGTTTGATTATAGAAACTAGTGGGTTTTCTTAGAGAAGGTGAGAGAAATGTTACTCCATCTTGGGGTTTGTTTTCTGTTCCTTTAAATATAAAGTACTTACTATTCAATCTTGAGAAGAGAATTTAGAAAGTTTCTGCTGAATCCTAATTTTACCCTAATGGCCTATGAAAGCGAATTGGCCTCTCATATAATAGTGTAAGAATTGTATAAAGTCACACAATGAGAGAATTTGGCTTGATGTCTCTAGTTTCTTAACATTAATTTGACCGAATAGGGGAAAAAAGTCTTCCTCTACTCTGACTTCATAGCTGATTCAAAAATCCCAGGGCTTTAAAAAGGTTGTTTATCTTAGAATGATCCAATGCATGCCTTAAGTAAGTAATTACACCAGTATACGTGACACAATATGACAGGTATAGTCTGAAAATCATTTGCAGAAAATTCAGTTGTGTTATCATGAGGTTAATGAAAATCGGTATTTTTGAGAGTCTATATAATCTCAGAGGGTACAAAAGTAGAGGTAGTGAAATTAATACTGTTTTCAACTGAGCAAGTAGCTTGGAGAGTCCTTGGTGATTATTTCCTAACTGATCTCTCCATCCTTCCCATACGTGATAAGAACTTGAGTCCACTCCGTCTGAAAATGAGCATGAGTAGGAGAAAGAAGCTAAACAATCCATCAGTGGTGATAGGTCCAAATTCACCTACTTGGGGCTTTACTCCACTACTTTAGAATCCCCTATGGCACAATAAGATTGTCCTAGAGTTCTCCCCATTTCCTATTTGCAATAAGACAGTTTCATGTATCCTTATTCCTAGATTCTCTTTTGAAAGATTAAAAAAAGATGGCAAAGCTTGGAAAGTGCAGACTCAAAATTCCTGTAATGCAGACATCTACCCACTTCTTTCTCTGTCCCTGGTTTTCTTTATGAACACAAAAGTCCTCTTGCATTTGTCTTACACTTGAGAGAAAAACTGTGCTATCATCAATAAGATGAGCATTCCCTCAAAACCATGCCTTTGTGAAGTTACGAACCCCAATCTTCCTTTCTTGGCCATATTTCTTCAAAGAATCCACTCTCTTTATCTGCCTTTCACTCTGAGGCTCTGACTTCCACTTCCACCAGTCACTCTAGCAGCAGTCACAGGGCTCCCTGCATTGCCAAGTCCAAAGGATGTTTCCCAAGTTTTATCCTCTTTAACCTCTCTATGGCCTTTGGCACCTTCCATGAGTCTCTTCCTACAAAGCTATCCTCCCTAGCATTCTAGACAGGTCTTTTCCTTGGTCTTCTCCTGCCTTGCCGGCCTTTCTGTCATAAATAGTCACCATGTCTAATTAGTCACCAAGTCCTGGAGAATCTTAAGATCCTAACATTCTTAAGACCACCTGGATTTGACTGTCCACCTTCCCACTTCCCTAAACACCCTTTTGTTCTTCCCATCTCTTAAATGTTAGCTATGTCCCAGGACTCTGCTGTCAAACCCTGTCCTACTACAGTCTATTATCTTTTATAAACAGTAATACTTTACAAACAGGAGTCATAACATGTCAGTCTCTGCTTGAAACACTGCACTTGTCCCTACAACCTGTGCCCCTTCCATTATGTCTCTGAGTTCATGTCCCCCTCCTACCTCTCCCTTCACTCACTCAGTTTCAGTCACGCTGGTCTTTTTTTTGTTCAAATGCACAACTGTGCTCCTGCCTCGGGGCCTTTGCATTGACTGTTCCTACTTCCTGGAACACTCTTTCTTCAGATATCTCTCAGGACTTACTTCTCACCTCCATTTGAGACTTTGCCCAATGTCACCTTCACACTGCATGAAAATTGTAACCTTCCCCTGCCATCTAATAAGGTGATCCCAACCCTTCTCCCACAAGCACCACAAGAACAAGAATCTTGTTTGCTTTGTTCTCTGATGTATCCTCAGGGTCTAGAACAAGTGCTTCTCACACAGTAGGTGCTCAGTGAATATCTATTCAATGAGTGATGGCTGAATAAACTCTCCCTGTATCCTCATATACTTCTGTAGATTCAACTACCCATTTTGTTATGATCCAAATCCATGGATTCAGGCCTCACACCCAAACCTCAGACCTATACAAATCCATCCGGCCACCGAGAGTCATTCCTTGAACAGCTCCCAGGCATCTCAAACTCAAAATATTCAAAATAGAATTATTTTCTTCTGCCTTTCTTTTTAAACCTCCTCCCCCTTCTATATTCACTATCTCAGTAAATGGTGTTGCCCACATGTAGTTGTGAGCCAGACGCCTTAGAGTTATCCTAGACTCCTCTCATTCATTCACATCCAGTCCTGCCTCTGCTTACTTCTCTACCCTCATTTCATACCATGCCCCTCCATTGCCCTGCACTCTGGCCACCACTGACTTCCATACTTTCATATATGTTTCTCCTTCTCTTATTATGCCTCACGTCTCCCAACCTTCCTCACTCAACTCCAGGCCTAACGTTTATCCCAAGCATCATCTTCTTTCCAGGGTTCCTCCCATGGTGCCCAGTGCATACAGACCTTTATCACATTAATAATTAGCTTACCTATCCATCTCCAACACTAGGCTCTGAGGTCGTAAGGGCAGAGACAATGGCTGAATGCATCCTGGTGTCTAATACAGTACCTGCCATATAGTAGGTGTTTAATACATGTTTGATAAACAAATGGATTTTAATAACTCAATTAAGATGTCAGTCTTAAGTATATTATTTTAATTTATGATGAAAAAGTAAAGATTATTATTACAAAAATATAGAGGCTCACAGTGCCTGGCCCATGGTAAGTAATCAATATATTAGGAGTCTTCAAAAATATTGAAAATGTGTTTTATGAAAAAAAAACTAAGCATGGATTTCAGAATTTTGGGACATTAAAATAATACTGTACTAACTTGTTAGAATATGTCTGAACAATATCTAGTTTGAGGCACTAAAAAAGGATAAGACATCAGTTTAAAAAGAGCCCCTACAGAGTAACACAAATTCTGCTAAAATTGAAGCAAAAACAAACATCGTATTTATGGTGAAGCTTCAGTGGAAGAATGGCATTGCTGATGCTTTACAGAAAGTTTATGGGGACAATGCCCTAAAGAAATCAGCAGTTTACAAATGGATAACTCATTTTAAGAAAGGACAAGATGATGTTGACAATGAAGTTCACAGCAGTGACCATTCACATCAATTTGTGAGGAAAAACTTCATCTCGTTTTGCCCTAATTGAAGAGGACCACTGATTAACAGCACAAACAATGGCTAACCATAGACATCTTAATCGGTTCAGCTTATACAATTCTGTCTGAAAAATTAAAGTTGAGTAAACTTTCCACTCAATGGATGCCAAAACCATTGTGCCCAGATCAGCTGCAAACAAGGCAGAGCTTTCAATGGAAATTTTAAACAAGTGGAATCAAGATTCTGAAGGATTTCTTCAACGAATTGTAATGAGAGATGAAACGTGGCTTTACAAATATAATCCTGAAGACAAAACACAATCAAAACAATGGCTACCAAGAGGTGTAAGTGGTCTAGTCAAAGCAAAAGCAGACAGGTAAAGAGGAAAGGTCATGGCAACAGGTATCTGAAATGCTCAAGGCATTTTACTTGGTAACTCTCTGGAGGGCCAAAGCATGATAACATCTGCTTATTATGAGAGTGTTTGAGAAAGCTAGCCAAAGCTGTAGCAGAAAAGTGCTGAGAAAGCTTCATCAGAAATTTTTTCTCTGCAGCAATGCTCCTGCTCGTTCCTCTCAGTAAACAAGGGCAATTTTGTGACTTTTGACAGAAAATCACTAGGCACCCAACTTACAGTTCTCATTTGGCTCCTTCTGACTTTTTTGTGTTTCCTAATCTTAAAAAGTCTTTAACAGGCACCCACTTTTCTTCAGTTAATAATGTAAAAAAGACTGCACTGACATGGTTAAATTCCCAGGACCCTCAGTTCTTTAAGGATGGACCAAACGGCTGGTATCATCACTTATAAGTGTCTTCAATGTGATGGAGCTTATGTTGAAAAGTAGAGTTGGTATTTTTATTTGTATCTTTTAGTTCCACTTTTCCATGAACTTTTTGAAGTCCTCTTGTATATGTTTTGCTGAATGAATAAGTAAATAAATGGTGAGGAAACAACCTTAACAATAGTAAGGACATATTAAAACAGCATGAAATCAAGTAATGTGGGTCATTACGAAAGCACTGGAACTCACAAGTAGTGGTGGGAGTATGGCAGGAAATGAGGCAAGAAGGAATAATGAGAGAGATAAGGGGTCTTGAGTGGGGGCTCTGCTCTCCAGGTAGTGGGTACCTCAATATAGCATGAAGTCAGTAGAGCAATTAATCAGATATGTGGTTTAGAAGGATCCCTCTGTCAGAAGAATGAAGAATGAATTGGCAGGAGTTGAATGGGTTGAGATGAATGAAGGAGAAGATTGGACTTTGGAATACCACATAAAAGCCAACGTTAGTAGCTTGTGGGTCTAAAGTATGAAGGTCTAGCTGGGTTAAAATTGGAGACATTTCAGAAGTCAACATGAATCTTCCCAGGCTAATGGTAGCTGACTTTCTCCCAAAGGCTTGAACTATGAATAGACAAGGCTCACAGAGCCCCAGCACTGTCATTGTAGACATTGTATGGCTTAGCTTAAGGGTTGCCCTTATCTTCTAATATAATTAATGACCAGCTTGTGAGGTTTCATGGGCTTCAAAAACTCATACAGACACATAAGGCACCACACTTTTTCTTAAGTTACAGATGTTCCTGAAAAAGCTCCAGAAAGACAGCAAAGAGCACTGGCTACTTGCCCATTATTTCTCTGGTCCAGAAATCACGGGTTGCACAATGGGAAAAACTGGAGTCACTTCAGGCAACCACCTGCATTTATAAAACCCAAGGAACCCTCTTCTTTCCCTGTCTTTTTGCTTTAGGCTGGGTAAAAGGAAGCCTAGTTCTTGGGGTGCTTATCCAAGTATGATCCAGTTGTGAAAACTGGTTTGGACATCAGAAGGTCCAGGGCATCAGATAGAGTGTTTTTAGATGTCTCAGAACAATATGTCAAAAGGATTCAGCTGGTTATTAAGGCAGTGCTGCCAAACCTTCCCATTGGACTGACATGATTATTTGTCCTGGCGGGGCCATGGGTCACAAGCTCTTGACTTCCAGAAGCCTTTCTGTCAGACTAGATTTCCTATAGGGCTATCAAAGAATAAGCCTTGCTTGCATGTATGGCACACTTAAAATTTTTTTAGTTGACAGATAATATTTGTGTGTGTTTATGGGGCACTTATGATATTTTAATTCATGCATAGAATGTATAATGATCAAGTCAGGGTATTTAGTATATCTATCACCTCAAGCATTTTATCATTTCTTTGTGGTAGGGACTTTCAAATCTTCTCTTCTGGCTATTTTAAAATATACACTTTCAAAAGTAGTTTTGGGTGGGGGACTGGCAAATTGCTAGGAACCCTGCCACCCAGAATTCACATCTGCCTCTTCAGTAGTGACCCTGGAATGAGAAAAGGATACTTGTGTTAAGTGCATTTTTAAAAAGAATGTGAAAATTTGAATTACTTGTTTTAGATAAAAGCAATAATAATTTGAGACGTTCTAATGTTCATTCTTTTGTTGTTGTTGTTGTTGTTCCAGTGTTCTCCCAGCTTTCCTTGTGCAAAGCCAAGGAGTCCATGGAGGAATCACCATATTGAAGACACCTGTCCTGGTGCTGTTCCACCAAGTCTCTGGACCAGAACATGAAGCCTCATGATCCAGGACACTCAACGAGGGACACTGGAAAGCATCTTTACTATTTACATTCCATTGACAAAGAGCTGTGGTTAAGGACCTGGCCAAATTTGCAGTTGATGAGTGGTCCAGTAGAGACTTGAGTCATGCCCCAGACTCCAGAGCAATCCCCACTCCTTGGTGAATAATCTGTTTTTTAACTTGTCATTTGCCAAGTTGACACATCATACTACATACGGAGTAGCTGGTAAATGCACACTCCATGGTTAGTCTGCTTGCATTCAGATCCAGTTCCACCACCTACAAGTTTACCTGTCTTTAAAATTTTCTTACCTTAGGATGACAACAAATATCAAATTTTAAAAATCACACAAACTTGGCTACTCTGGAGAAGTCAGTGCTCCCTCTCTCTTCCCTGCTGCTCTTCCATTTGCCTGAGACCCTCTTTTCCATGCTTTTCTGTCTAGCTCCATCTTTGGATTTCAGTTTGGACTTAATTACCTCAGAGAAGCTTCTTTTGGCCTTCCAAGGTTGAGTTGGGATCCCCTCTTCTGGGTTCCTATGGCATCATTTCCCCATTCAGCAATTGCCACACTGCTTTTTGTTTCCTTGTCTATCTCCCTAACCAAACTGTGAGCTAAGGTGTCGACTTTGCTGTTTTTTTTTTACCCCAAGCATCTGATAGTAGTGCATAGTAGGTGCTCAAATATTTGTGGAATCAACAACAACAAAAAATAGATAGATGAGTGAATGGACAGATAGCGAGAAGAGAAAAAGGTCAGTAGACAAAGAGTCAAGGATATTCTCCTTGGGACTCCTGAATTCGGACCAGAGAGTAGGGAAACTGGGGAGGTAGGGGGCGTTGAGGGTGGGATGAGGTGGTGGCTCTGGACCTTAATCTCACGGTCTTCGTTCCCACGGAAAAGGGAGGAGTTTCTACAACCCAAAGACTCTCTCTGGCTCCCTTGCTAGATCCTGCCTTCTGCCAGAAGACCCCAGAATACAGGCAAAGCCGCCAAAGAACAACAGTTCCAACGGTAGGAGCAGAGCTACTGCCTTCAGTGCGCCTCGGATCTGCACGCCCTGCCTATCTTTGGGGTACAGAGAAGGCGCGTACCATGAAAGCCCCAACTTCCCCTCTTTCTTTTCTCCCACGGTCGGGACCTTAGGGTAGGAGTTTCAAGAGGGGAGAAGCCGGTGGAGCAGTAACAGCCTTCATAATGTCTCCAGTCCCGCTTCCGTCACCTCCCTAAGGCTGCGCCCCCCTCCTGGGGGACGTGCGCTGGGCCCGGGGCCGCCGGGGCGGGGAAGGGTCGGGCCCGGGGCGGGGAGAAGCGTTTATATGTCGGCGAGGGGCGTGGGAGCTGCCACCCGCTTGCCTGCGGGACACCGGAGTCAAGAGGCTGCCCACGCCGCTGCCTGTCCGTTCCACGGTTCCGAGGTCTCCACCGTCTCCCCGCGCGCCGCAGGCGGCACCAAACTCTGCGCTCCCCGCGGTGCGCCCTGCCCGCGCAGTGCGCGTCCAGAGGAAATCCGCCCCGGGCTTTCGAAGTGCAGGGCTGGGGGCTGCATGGAAGTTTCCCCAAGGTAAGTCCAGGAGCCAACGCTGGGACAGCAAGAGCCAAAACTAGGTTTACAAGTGATCAGTAGTTGGATGGGAGGGACCGGCCAGAATAGAGGAGGCTGCATGAGAAAGACTGCGGTGGAGGGAAATAAGTGAATTTCAGAAGCTCAAAAACTCCTCCTTTGGCTTTTCTCCTCCTCCAAACAAGAGTAACTGCCCTCACCTCGTCTTTCTTTTAATTTTTCGCATCCGACTGTTGAAGAACCTACAGCACACTCTTGTCATTCTCTGCTCCCATCTCCGCGTCTCCCACCGCGCACCAGGGCGCCTCCTGAGAGGTGCGTCACCCAACACTGTGTCCTCACAGCACAGGGCCTGGCGAGTGGCATGTACAGTGGACCACTCTCGGAAACAAATGAATGGAGTTAATCAGGGTGAGTCAGGAAAAGTCACTCCCAAGCCTGTACATTCCCAGTCTGTACTTTTGTTCTTGCACTTCACACAAATTTATTAAAGAGGGTTGGACTTTTACTGCTGTCTGAGGGGAGGAAGGAAAGCAGAGAAAATGCACCCTTTTCTCAATTCCCAGAAACATTCTACTCTGAGCGGAACCCCAATTACCTGGCTCAGTATCAACCATGCAAGTAATTTTGAAGAGGAGAGGAGGCAGGCTGGAAGAGGAAAAAAAATGTTAAAACTAGGAAGTGATTTTCTTTTCTTTTTTGTCCTTTTGTGACAAGGATTTCTCATTCTCTTGTTAAAAGTCTACTCTATGGATATATTTAAAGAGGACCTTTTGCCAGTGGATGGGTGTGGGGGTGATAGGAGAGAGGGGTGGTGACGGTGATTAGGAATATCTGAGACAGTAAAAATCCTAACACTTGTGGCAGGAAGGATAACAGCAGTTTTCTGTTAAGAATTCTATAGTTACAGAATTCAGCAGTCATGTTACTTTTTCTAAACTAATCTATTTAATGAGTAGTATTTTTAATATAAAATGTTCAATGTTAAATTTATTGTTCAGTGTCTTCATAGAGGAAGTCACTTACATAAAAATCCTGAAACTTCTAAATAATGTTCTTTAAAATACACAGCCTTAATAGTTCTTGTCTTTATAAAAGAGGTTGTCAATTAATTTCTCCTTTTTTTTGAGACGGAGTTTCTCTCTTGTTGCCGGGGCTGGAGTGCAATGCGCCATCTCAGCTCATCGCAACCTCCGCCTCCCGGGTTCAAGCGATTCTCCTGCCTCAGCCTCGCGAGTAGCTGGGATTACAGGCATGAGCCACCATGCCCGGCTAATTTTGTATTTTTAGTAGAGACGGGGTTTCTCCATTTTGGTCAGGTTGGTCTCGAACTCCTGACCTTAGGTGATCCGCCCGCCTCAGCCTCCCAAAGTGCTGGGATTACAGCAATTTCTCCCTCATTTTATTCCAAAATATTAGAAGTGCAGAGGAGAGAAAAAGAAGGAGAAAAAAAATACCGTGCCTCAAAAGAAGGTGTGTTTTGGATGTTGTGCCATGTGAAATCAAATTTTATAATGTTCATGAAAGATGTTAGGTTAAGCATTCATTGGAGAATCATCTTTGGCTTTTATATTTTAGTAATTTAAAAAATTTAATTTTGCTAAATTTTTTGTGAACCAATTCTCCGGAAATACTATTGTTGAATATAAATACTTGCAATTTTCATTTTTTCCATTCCCTTCAGATAGTCTGAATTTCAGAAAGTTTCAGTATTTTGAATATTTTGCAGAAAATATTTATTTATTTGTATAGACAGTATCAAGAGCATCTAATTAAGTCACCAAATGAAGATCAGGTTGTAAAAATTATGAATAAAAATTGGTGCCTTATTTAATAATCTCTATACTTAGTACACTATAAAGTCCCACTAATACAATGGTCTTAAAAATGACTAAAAAGAACTTCTCTGTCAGTAAATATCCGCTGACCCTGGAATTCCTCAAAAATATGGGTTTGTGAGCTAGACCCCCTGCAAATATATAAAAGTGATCCAGACTAATGATTATGTGTTGTAATCTAAGAATACTCATTCCTACAGTCCTAAGAAATAAGTAGGAAGATTAGATTTTCTATGCTTCTTCTTATGCTTCTAAAAGATTCATGAACATGACTTTTCCAGGATGATTGTTGGCCAAAATTATTTTTTTTCCTTTCCTGACCTTATTGTCGTTATTTAAAGTATAAGGTAGATTAGCTTTGCTCTCCAACAGGTCTAGATTCAAGTTATAGACAAACTCAAACAATGCAGTTACCTCTCTGAGTCTTATTCTTGTCACCTGTCACATAGGGCAGTGATATCTACCTACCTCACAGGGGTGTATGGGGAAAAAAACAAGATCTTCGTAAAATGCCAAGCACAAGTGCTCAATAAATGAGGACAATGGTGATGGCGATGGTGGTGGTAAAGCCATCATCATCATTAGATCAGGCAAATAGAATTGTTTCCAATAATTTAGTTACTATTGAGCCCAATTTTATCCTGTGTTCTGACCTCACTCAAATACTTTGTTTCCATGGAATGTAATACATGATTAACAGGAACGAATGATCCGCCAAACATTGTAATCTCCTTGGAAGTGTTCTAGTTTGTAGAGATCATGGAGATCATTTAGGGCCTGTCACTCTGGCATGCTGCTATCCTGGAAGAGATGTTTGAGGATTGTGGCTGTTTTGCTTTTACTACAAATTTCTTCATATCTTAGGCTTTAGCATTTGAGGAGACTTTTCCGTGAGGGTCAAATTATGCCTGCAGGTAGGAGGCTTTTAAAAGTGCACTCAGTGTTTTAATTTCTTTAGCTAATGCTTTTGCAATAATAAAAATGTCTTTCTACTTTCAGCAGAAGAGTATTATATTTAGATTTTCTGAATTTTAAAGCAGTTACCAAAAGCTACGCTAAGTTTTTCAAAGGAATTTAAAAGGCATAAATGATCCTTTACAAAATAGTGACTAAAGGCCGACCTTTCTAAATGAAAAAATAACTGAATCTTATTCTCAATTCCTCTTCTGTTTCCTCGCCCTCCTTCCAAAACTGGTTTTTTCTTGAGGTGACCCCAAGGCCTTGGCATGGAAATTTAGAGGAGATTACCACATAAAAATAGATACCATTAGCTAATATAAGTCATGTACAGAAGAAAAGATCTTTTGTGTCTCTTGTATCCCTAATGCTTCCCACAATACCTAGCACTTAGTAGGTATTCAGTAATATTTGGTAAGTGAAGGACTTAAAATTTCAAAATTCTGGCTAAATTATGCATCTCATGTAAAGCTGTAGCAGTTGCACTTTGAAAATCCAATAACATGCAAAATCTCAGGGAAAATTCCTAACGTGAAAAATCTCGGGACAAGATAAAGGAGGCAGTATCATCTTTGTGTCTCTACTTCTGAAGTTCAGTCTTACTAAAACACCTGGTCTATCACTACTGACTCTAAATCTTATCTTTATGAGCTATTTTGATTGACTGACATAACCCTAAAAACTAATGCATTTAACAGTCCCGAAGAACAAGTCTAAGGAGATGTACTCATTTAATTTTGGAATGATGAGAAAATTTTTCCCCAAATGCTCAACTGGTAGAGGGGAGGGAAGAAGAATAGAATATACAAACCAACTTAGTCTTGCAAATGTAAACCTCAGTATTCTCCTTAAGTCACAAAGGCACAAATAAATATACATGTAACCATTTTAAAACCATTTACAGTTAAGGATGTGAACATTGATTTGACTCTAAAATATTTTTGTATTGCTCTAAGTACTGTATCCTACACTTTAGAGGGGAAAGATTTTGCCAGAGTTAGTTGGCAAAGGCATTTGTGTTGGCTTGAAAAACCATAAGCTAATCACTTATTTAGTCCGTTAAAAACAACTTGATTAATGTTTGGTAAGAAATTCTGACTAAAATTCTCCATTATATGCTTCCAAATACAATAGAACTTTGAAGATCATAAGCAAGTCACAGTCATATTTGGCTATTACTGTTTGTTATAAAACAATACCACAGTATGTCAAATGGTCTGTGTACCATATTTTCGTACCCCTACCTCATCCTAAGCCAGCATGTGTAGTTAACTTTATAATCTTGTTTACTTTCACATTTTCTCTGGGACAGCTAGAAACTTTAATGTGAAGATGACATTATACACTGTAGCAGATTCCCTCAATATCCAGGCTTTTCTCCTCTCTGCTGGCTACAGATAATGTGAGGGCCCTGCCCATATTTTCCCACTGTGTTCCTTCTTTTAGTGCATGCTGGAGGCTTCTTACTTCAAGCACTGTGACTCTGTCTGAGGGCTTTATCAGGCCTTGGGAGCCTGCCTGACCCATGTAGGGTAGGCCAGAAGGGCCTGGAAGTAAACACCCCTGGAGCAATACCTTACCCAATAATATATGAAAGTTGGTGAGTAAATACCCCACTTTCTCACATCTTAGGTGAGGCAACTTTTGAGGTATGAACCATACATTCCTCCAGAGGTACCCAATGGAACCGAGCTCCAGCTGCTCATAGTGGTAACCTACCTGCTCATTAACATTGACTTTTTTCCCTTCTCTGTCTCACTTCTCCACTCCTTTACCAGGAGTTACCTCCCAAATAAACTAATTGAATGAATTCTTGTCCAGGGTCTGCTTTTGGGAGAACCCAGTCTACCATAAACTTTTTGGCTATTTCAGTAAATGCAGTATAAGTTATACTGCAGTAAACTAAGTATAGCTTATACTTAGCCAAGTGGACTATAGATGCCATTCTAGCCAAAAAGTAAATCATGAATGGAATTCTTGCTTTCCACAGTGCAGAACAGAATTTTGTCTGTAGCTAATACTGTTTCATTGGTGTCTTGGTGTCTTGTTTAACTTGTATCTTATTGGTCATAACTGGATCCTAAATTCTCATCGCCTTTTTTGGAAACTGTCATGGGACATGGAGGGAGATATCAGTGAAGATTTGGTGTGACTCCAGAACAATGAGGGTTTAGTGTGATCCCATAATTAGAGAAATAGCACAAAGAACATATTCTGCTCATGTTATGTAAAGAGGTTCTGGAAAGTGGTTCAAACACATGCTCAGTGAAGATAATGCTGGGCCCTTTATTTTCCTGCTGGGTGTTCCTATCCCCTCCACAGGTTGGGTCACCATTTATTTATCAGTGATTTTCTAATCCATACCGCCAGGCCAGACCTCTCCTGAGAACTCCAGTCCCAGATATCTAACTGCCCACAAGGCACTTGAAGATTTGTTTGCACCACAAGTCCAACAAGTCCCAAATGGTACTCATTATCTTCCCCCAAACCCTCCCCTCTTCCTGCGAATGGCACAACCCAGTGGCCCCATCAGAAAACTTTGAAGTAGCCTTGAGGATCTGTCCTTCTCACTTCATCAACAGTCCCATCTAATCAGTCTCCAAGTCTTACAAATTTAATTTCCTAACAATCTCTACAAACTTCTCTCCATTCTCCTTGTCATCACTGCATTTCCAAAACACCGTCATCTATTTCACTCAACACCGGCCTCCTAGTGCCCCTCCCTGTATCTAGTCATGCCCCTCTTGTAGCATTCTCCACACTTCAGCCTGAAAACATCTGCTCACACTTTTCTCTGGTTAAAATGCTCCAATGGCTTTAGGTAAAATCCAAAATCCTTATCCTGGTTGAAAATCCTCCCACCACTCCACCTTAACTGTGTCTTCTGCATCATGCCTTCTTATTTTGTTCCCACTACTCCCAGTCCTCTAGTTCTTTAGGGAGATCTTGCTCTCTCTCACCTCCTGCCACTTGCATTTTGGAATCTCTTCTACCTAAAACCATATTCTCCAGACTCTCAACCTGGCTAACTGCTTCTTTCCCTTTAGAACTTAGCTACTATGTTCATTCCTTGAGAAAAAGCATTACTGGACCCCCTTACTAGGAAAAGTGCCCTTCCCTGGATCCCCACAATAGCCTGGGCTTCCTTAGCCATATCGCTCTCCCACTAAAAGCTCTATTTCTTAGTGTTTCATGTTCACCAGACTGCCTTCAGTGCCAGCTACTGAAGTATCTGTTGTATGAATAATGAGCTGAAATCAGGTTCCTTACTAGCTGATGATCATGGGCAAGTCACCTAACTTATCTGAACTTCAGTTTTCTCATCAAAGTGGAAACAATATTCAAGCACAGGGTGATTGAGAGGAGTTGATGAAATTATGGATCTGGGGTTCCTGACACCTAAGTTGGTGCTCAATACATAGAAGTTATTTTGGATTCAGCAAGGTAGAACTAGGCTTGCCTTGCCTCATGATGTTTTGAGACAGTAAAGGCTACATCCTGGAAGGTGTAAGTTAAAGGGGCACTTTGATGTAGCAGCTCTGGGAGGAACCCAGAGGGAGGAA